>NT_167244.2:3405379-3420263 GCF_000001405.40 Homo sapiens | reverse complement strand
GGCCGCCGCCCCAGCCGGCTCCCCCGCACCCCCGCCCCGCCACCCCCGCCCCACCGCCAGCCCTGATCCCGGCACCAGGAAACGGGACTCCAACCAGGGAATCTACGGCCTCTCGCCTGAAGGCGTCGACCGGGTGGCTGCGTCCCGCCACCCCAAGCCAGAGGTGCTGGGCAGTTCCGCCGATGGCGCGCTTCTCGTGTCTCTCGACGGGCTCCGCGGCCAGTTCGAGCGCGTGGTGCTGCGCTGGCGGCCTCAGCCGCCTGCAGAGGGCCCCGGCGGTGAGCTGACTGTGCCGGGCACCACGCGCACCGTCAGCCTGCCCGACCTCAGGCCCGGCACCACCTACCACGTGGAGGTCCACGGGGTGCGGGCGGGGCAGACCTCCAAGTCCTACGCCTTCATCACCACCACAGGTAGTGTGGGCTGGGGCCACGGGACACCTATCCCTTGTCCAGCCTCACCTGCCGTTGGAGCCTGCATTCATGAATTCCTCCCACTGCCACCCCCCACTGCCCCCTTCTACCTTCAGGCCCTACCTGGCCGGGGCTCCAGGGGGCCCCCAGGACAAAGCACGAGTCCATTGTCCCTAGAAGACGTCCCCACCCCAGGGTCCTGGCATCCATCCTGTGGATGCCTAAGGTCAAGGCAGCGCCTTCTTTGGGGTTTCCCGGGACACTTCCAGGATTGTTATTTTAGGCAATAGAGGGTGATGTGGTTGGGGCACCTGCAAAGATTCACTGGAGCAGTTTGAGTGGGCTGGGAATTGAAAACAGTGATTCCCGTTCTGACTCACTGTGGTGAGAGTGGCTGAAGACTGTGGTTAGTGGTTACTGTTTTCCACAATTTGGCCTTGACCTTGAAGGGACACATCAGAACTGCGTGGGGGTGGCCTGGGTGCCATCAGGCAGCAACTGTATATTGGGGAGGTGAAACCACTGCTTCTTAAGCTGGCTTTTCAGACCCCCTGGCTCACTTTATGCTGGTCTCTCCCACAGGAACGATGTCTGGGCTTGGGGAAAGGGCACCCTGTGGCTGCTGTGGGGAGGGTGGTGGACCTCTTCTTCCCCCATAGGGCCCAGATGCCACCTGACCTGGATGTCCACCCCCACACCCTCTCTCTCTTCCCACTGCCCACTCTCCTCTTGCATCCTCCCTCTCTAACACCACTGTCTTTCTTCCAGGCTTCTCACTGCAGCACTAATGGAAGCCACCTGACCACCACCCAGTGGGGGGGATGTATGTGGGGAGGGACATGGAAGTCTCCGGGGGCTGGAGGTCATGGAAGCCTTGTGGGGTGAAGGATAGCAGGCTTTATTTTACCTATTACCTGCCTGAAGCACAGGCCCGTCTGCTCAGGAATGTGGTAGATGGGGGTGTTTGGAGGATTGGCTGACCTTTGGGAGGAGGGAGTGGCCCAGGTGAGGGAACCAGAAGTAGAAGTAGAACAAGGCTCTTAGAGGCTGGAGGGCAGAACCTGGGGACTGGGGATTCCTTTCTAGTTCTCATACTGGACTCTCCTCTTTTTCTCACCCTGCCCCTTCCCAGGGTCCTCACCCTTGGGCCTCTTGGGGACTACCGATGAGCCTCCTCCCTCAGGCCCCTCGACGACGCAAGGGGCCCAGGCTCCTCTCCTGCAGCAGCGCCCCCAGGAGCTGGGAGAGTTGAGGGTGCTGGGCAGAGATGAGACAGGGCGCCTCCGTGTGGTCTGGACCGCCCAGCCTGACACCTTTGCCTACTTCCAACTGCGCATGCGGGTGCCCGAGGGGCCGGGGGCACATGAGGAAGTGCTGCCAGGGGACGTCCGCCAGGCTCTGGTGCCTCCACCCCCTCCTGGAACCCCGTATGAGCTGTCACTTCATGGGGTCCCTCCTGGGGGCAAGCCCTCTGACCCCATCATCTACCAAGGCATTATGGGTACATCTTGGACTCTGCTCAGATCAATATCCTGAGATTGGGGGAGGAGCTGGGGTTATTGGGACTTCAGAGGTAGGATGGATATTGAGGGGCCAGTGAAGGGCAGGGCTGATGTTTGGGGCTGGATAGAGGAGAAAAGGAGAGAAAAGGAATTGCAGGTTCAGCAGGAAGATGGATCGAGGGGGATCTTAAAACAATGATAAGGATGGGTGGGGAGAGGGGAAAGAGGCAGAGGTAAAAAGGCCGAGGGTGGGACAGAGATTCCAGGAGAGAGGCTGAAGGTCCCTGGCCCTCCACCTGCAGCTTTCCTTGCCCTGTCCCCTGCCCCCACTCTTCGGTTGCTCCTCTGCCCTTCCCTGCCCTATAAATCTTTCAGGGTGGGCATGGGAAGGCCTCTGGACACTGACCCTCAGCCCCCAATACCTCGTCCCTGGGAGCCTGGTTTGCAGTGGACAGCAGTCCATGGTCCCATCAGCCAGTTTCTGCTGGGGGTGAAGGCTCCTTGGGGCAGGGGGCTCCACAGCCATCAGGACTTCAGACATGGATGAGGTTTGCAGGACCAGTGAAAGACAGGTCCTGGGGTACCTGGCTTTCACATCCCCTCTTTGTTCCTCTCTGTGGGACCAGGGTGGCTGACTCATCCCCCAGCTCCAGGTCAAGCTCACCACTGGAAGAGAGGGTGGTAAGAGAGACAGCAGCTCAGGTGGGCAGAGGAGCTTTCAGACTGCTCTGATGCTGCAGCAGGGAGGCTTGAAACTCTCATTCAGAACCAGGGGGACCTGAAACCCCCGCAAAGATCCTGGTGTGCAGAGAGACCAAGACCTTGTGAGGGATGGAGAAACTGTCACAAGGGAAGAAGCAGAGATTGAGAGGGAAATGCCCCTCTTCCAGAAGAGCTAGTCACTGAGGGGTGGGCAGATAGAGTCTTCCGGGGAGGGATCTATCCAGGATGGAGTGAGGTGGGCAGGGGAGAGGGAAGGAGACACAGACAAGAGAACGGTTGAGTCCACTATGCTTTGCTTTTGCCTCTCAAACTCCAGACAAGGATGAGGAGAAGCCTGGGAAGTCCTCAGGCCCACCACGCCTGGGTGAGCTGACGGTGACAGACAGGACCTCCGACTCCTTGCTCCTGCGCTGGACGGTCCCCGAGGGCGAGTTTGACTCCTTCGTGATCCAGTACAAAGACAGGGACGGGCAGCCCCAGGTGGTGCCCGTGGAAGGACCCCAGCGCTCGGCCGTCATCACCTCCCTGGATCCTGGCCGCAAGTACAAATTTGTCCTGTATGGGTTTGTTGGCAAGAAGAGGCATGGTCCGCTGGTGGCTGAAGCCAAGATCTGTGAGTGACAGCAGTAACACCCTGCCCTCTGTACTGCCCTGAAGAGGTTTTCTCAGTGCTTTGGGAACCTGCTTTGGGAGCTCCGGGAAGGCTTCCTGGAGGCAGTGGTGCATGAGCTGAATTCTGAAGGGAAAGTAGTGGTGGGGCAGGCAAAGAGTTTGAGAAGCTCAGTGCAGCCTGAGGGAGTCACGGTGAGTAAGGTGGGGAGAGCATGGCCAGTAAGAGAATCACTGTTACAGTTTCCTCTGGCTGGAGAACAGGGCATGTGGGGGGTGCCAAAGGGCCTGGTCTCAGGGCTTCCTGTGCTGTGCTGAGGGGCTTGGGCCTCATTCGAAGGCCCCTAGAGGGCCTCTGAAGGGTAAAGTGGGAGAGTGATGAGACTAGATATTTATCTTGCAAATAACCGGGTGGCTGCTGAGACTAGCTGGAGAAGTGAGTTAAGAGCTGGTAAAGGCTAGCAGGGTTGATCCTGCCTATAATCCCAGCACCTTGGGAGGCCAAGGCAGGAGGATCGCTTGAGGCTAGGAGTTTGAGACCAACCTGGCAACATAGTGAGACCCCCCATCTCTACTATAACAAAAGATATTAGCCAGGCGTGGTGGTGCGTGCCTGTAGTCCCAGCTACTTGAGAGGCTTGAGGTGGGAGGATCGCTTGAGCCCAGGAGACCGAGGCTGCAGAGAGCCATGATTGTGCCACTGTACTCCAGCCTGGGTGCTATCCACACTCTGCACAGAGCAACACCCTGTCTCAAAAAAAAGAAAAATGATGATGGGTCAGCTGGGATGGTGGCAGTGGGGCTGGATGGGGGAGGCGAAGGAAAGCAAGGTGTACCAGGCAGCCCCCAGGGTTCTGGATGAGACAGTCCCATTCCCTGAGGCAGGGAGCAGCAGAGGTGGGGAACAACGCCTTAGATAAACTTAGATCAATATCTAAGAGACACTTACATAAATACCTTTTGTGCATTTATTGAGAGTCAGTTGTGATCAAGATGTTCTCTAAGTGGATCATCACACCCCATAAAGCACACCTGGGAGGCATGCCTACTTTATAGGTCAGGAGAATTGAGGCACCAGAGTAGTCGTGTGGGGTTGGGGAAGAGACAGGGCCACTGGAACCCTGTCGACAGCCTACACTCACAGCGGAGGCAGAGGAAGAAGAGCCCACAGGGTAGCTTGCGGAGTGACTTGCAGGGAGGGGCAGAACCAGGGAGGGTGCTGTCTGGACTCCAGGAAGGAGGGTGCGGTTGGACTTGTCAGATTCCGGAACAGTGATTCAAGGGCTACGGAGCGTCCACAGAATTTAGCAATGGCAAGGCCACCCCTGGCCTGCATGAGAGCTGCTGCCTGGTGGAGGGGTGGAGCTGGATCGGGAGGGTGGTGGAGGTGAGGACATGGCTGCAATCAGTGTAGACATCACTTTCTGGAATCTGGGCTGGGAATGAGAGCAAAGAGGGAAGATGGAGGCTAGAGAGAGATGCACACAGAGTGGGGGTGAGGAGGGGTGTGACAGTAGCTTGTTGAAATGCTGATGGCACAACTGCTGGGGAGTGAAGGGTCAGTGCTGCAGGCGAGGGAGTCCATCCATGGGTCAAAGTTCCCAAAGAGGAGGAGAGGCCTGCAGCATAGATGAGGGAGGCTGTCCCACATTAAAACGCTTCAAGGATTGTGCTCTCCTCTCTTGGAGAAGAAGCCAGCTAGTAGTTAGGCTTGGAAGCAGTGGAGGTTGTACTGGGAAGATTTCCCTGGCTATGGAGATGTGAAAGGGCCTGGCTGGGCTCCCCTCTTTCTGAAGCTCCCTGCTGCTCTGGTTTGTGGTTGGAGGCAGAGCCACACTAGTCCACGCAGTGCTTCCATGCCGTTTGAAAGAAGGCACCCATTCCTTAAAGTGGACACCACTCCTCACCAGGGCACACAGCTCGGCAAGCAGAGTGCTGGCTGGATTTCAGTCCCTCTGTACTCCCTCAGCAAATGCACTTTTGTGCAGTGAACAACCTGCACAGCCTCACACAGCATTCCTATGTGGGATTTGGCTTCCCCATTCTCCTTGGACCTAAGTCTCTCCCTTCTCTCTACCCACTCTTCCTAGTGCCTCAGAGTGACCCAAGTCCAGGGACTCCACCCCGCCTGGGAAACCTGTGGGTGACAGACCCTACCCCAGATTCACTGCACCTCTCCTGGACTGTCCCTGAGGGCCAGTTTGACACCTTCATGGTCCAGTACAGGGACAGGGATGGACGGCCCCAGGTGGTACCTGTGGAAGGGCCCGAGCGTTCATTTGTTGTCTCCTCACTGGACCCTGACCACAAGTACAGATTCACTCTGTTTGGAATTGCGAACAAGAAGCGGTATGGCCCCCTCACGGCCGATGGCACCACTGGTGAGTAGCAGCCACCTCAGCCCCCATGTGACCCCTTCTCAGCCCCATGCACACTTCCCTTCAGCCCAAAACCAGCTGGGGTCCCCCAGCAAGACAGCTGACTCCAGCTTCCCGGCCCCACTCCAGGGCTGAGGGGCAGCCAGACTCCCCCGCACTGCTGGGCCCCTTCCATCCCAAGCAGCAGCTCCCCGTGGCCCAGAAGGTGTGTCATACCCTGGCTGTGTCAGGCTTCCCAGAAGTTTAGCACTCGAATTAATGGACTAGTGACCCCCCACCCCCCATAGGTGTGACATCCCGTCGAAACCCCAAGCCCCAGTCCCAGGCTGCCAGTTCAGCACCTGGCTGGATCTCCTTGTTTACAGCTCCAGAGAGGAAAGAGGAGCCCCCCCGCCCTGAGTTCCTGGAGCAGCCCCTCCTGGGGGAACTGACAGTGACCGGCGTGACCCCAGACTCCTTGCGTCTCTCATGGACAGTGGCCCAGGGCCCCTTCGACTCATTCATGGTCCAGTACAAGGATGCACAGGGGCAGCCCCAGGCAGTGCCTGTTGCGGGGGATGAGAATGAGGTTACTGTCCCCGGCCTGGATCCCGACCGGAAGTATAAGATGAACCTCTACGGGCTTCGTGGCAGGCAGCGTGTGGGGCCCGAGTCTGTGGTGGCCAAGACTGGTGAGTCATGGCTGCCAGGCCTCCCTCCCCTGCTAGCCCCATCCTGTGAGCGGGACTTGGCTGGGGCTCCTTCCAGCCTCCCTCCATCTTCGCCTTCTCAGCTCATTTTGCCAAAGCCTCCACCCACTTCCTCCCGCACTGCTCTCCTGTCCTCTGCATGCCAGGTCCCCCTCATCCAGCCTCCACCTCCTCATCTCTTCCTCAGCCTCACTTCTTCATCTCCAAGGGCAGGTCCTATTTTCCCCCATTCCAAACACCTGGACTCATCCTTCCACCTGGGGCTGTCCTCCCCACAGATGTCCTCACCATTCGGTCACTGTGTTCTCACCCCTCAGTTTTTACTGGGCTCCTTCATGGTCTGGTTTGGGCCATGGTCACTTCTGGGCTTCTGTCACCTGCTGCCCACAACCTCCTGCCATTTCTGCTGTGTTCAGAGGTGGCAGATCCAAGTGACAAGAGCACCACGTTTCTCTAGCCTTTTTGCAGCATGAAGAGGACTCCTCTCAGCTCCCGACTCCTTGACTCCCAGCCCCCTTGGAACAGGGCAAAGGGATTGTGTTCAGCCCAGCATCCCAGCCTGTTCCTCCATGTCCCCAGCCTTTCCCTGTCCAGTGCCATTCCCCTGGCCTGTGAATTATTTGATGAGAGATAGTGTGGATAGTGGTTAGGAGCAAAGACTCCGGAGCCAACTGCCCGAGTCTCACTACCAGCCTTGCAACTTACTTCCTGTAGGACCTTGTGCAAATTGCTTAACCTCTCTGTGCCTCAGCTTTCCCTTCTGTCAGGTGGCTGGATTTCAGTCCCTCTGCACAGAGCTGTTGGAATTACATGAGTTAATATATGTATAACACTTAGAAAGGCCAGGCACAGTGGCTCATGCCTGTAATCCCAGCATTTTGGGAGGCCAAGGCGGGTGGATCACGAGGTCAGGAGATCGAGACCATCCTGGCTAACACGGTGAAACCGTGTCTCCACTAAAAATACAAAAAATTAGCCAGGCATGGTGGCAGGTGCCTGTAGTCCCAGCTACTCAAGAGGATGAGGCAGGAGAATGGCGTGAACCCGGGAGGCGGAGCTTGCAGTGAGCCGAGATCGCGCCACTGCATTCCAGCCTGGGCGACAGAGTGAGACTCCATCTCAAAAAAAAAACAAAAACAAAAACAAAAAAAGCCCACACACTTAGAATAGTGCTTGGAGCAGCAAAGCATTTTCAGAGTGAGCTGCAATTTCTCCCTGACTCTCTCACTTCCCAGTAATCTTTTTTGCTCCCCACCTCCCTCCCTTCCTCTGGGTTGTCATTCTTGCCAATTCTTTCCTCAATCTGCTATCCCAAAGTAGTCCCCCATGTAGCAGGTCACAGAAGGGCTGGTTTCCCTTGTGCCACAGTCTCCCCACTCCATGGAGCCTCAGCAGAGACCTAACTGTAGGGGGCGGGTAGGTGCCCACAGGGCTGTGATTCCAGAGCCAGCCAGGGAAGGACATGTCTCTCCTTGGATCCCACTCACCCCAGAATTTTTCTCCCACTCATGCCTGGAGCCCTGCCTTAGCAATTCATTCCTTGGGGTTAAAGGGGAGGGAGGGGCAGGGCTGCCTGGGGAGGCCACAGCAAGAGCACATTCCATGGTCAGATCCTCATATGAGGGGTGGGGCAGCCAGAGTGCCCTGGGGAGGGCACAGGTAGGAAGAGGCCTCACTGCCCTCCTCACTGTCTGAGGTCAGCACTGTCAGTGAACGTGGTTTGGAAGAACCCTCAGAGGCTTCCTCTCTTCCCATCTCAGCTCCTTTCTCAGACACGAAGGGAGACCCCTCACCCCCACAGAACCCACCAGAGCAGGATGGGGCAAGGGCTGTCTCAGCCTTCTCCATCCGTGAGTGACCGAATGGCAAATACAAAGGCTACAGAGCCCCTGAGCCCACAGCGTAAGGGCATTTCCATGGCTGTCATCTGTGGGCAGCAGCAGCAAAGCCAGCAGCCCTTTATGCCTCTATCTCTTCTCTCAGCTCCTCAGGAGGATGTGGACGAGACCCCCAGCCCCACAGAACTGGGCACGGAGGCCCCGGAGTCCCCCGAGGAGCCGCTCCTGGGGGAGCTGACAGTGACAGGATCCTCCCCTGATTCGCTGAGCCTCTTCTGGACCGTCCCCCAGGGCAGCTTCGACTCTTTCACCGTGCAGTACAAGGACAGGGATGGGCGGCCCCGGGCGGTGCGTGTTGGGGGCAAGGAGAGTGAGGTCACCGTGGGAGGCCTAGAGCCCGGGCACAAGTACAAGATGCACCTGTACGGCCTCCACGAGGGGCAGCGCGTGGGCCCGGTGTCCGCCGTGGGCGTGACAGGTGAGTGAGGGGCAGGGGCCTGCTTTGGTTCCCTCCCACTGCTGGCTCCCAGCTTCCCTGTAGCCAGTTGCTCTCCTTGCTCCAGTGGAACCTTGAGGCTGCCTGCCAGGGGAAGACCTAGAAAGAGCATGTCACTGGGGACTGGCGTACCACCAGCTTTCATGGCCCTGAGCAAGTTTTAAACTTTCTGCACCTCTGTTTCCTTGTCCGTAAAATGGGGACACCTACCTCACAGAGTTATTGTGAGGGTTAAGTGAGTTAACAGATGTAAAGCATCAAGAATGGGCCTGGCAAAAGTAAATATGCTGCCAGTGTCTGCTGTGAGAATTGTTATAAATATTCTTACTCTGAGGTCTGCTTTGTCCCCTTTGGCTGGTTCAGTTACTTGGTCAGAATGCACATGAATCTAAGGCCATACCACCCTGAAGGTGTCCTATCATCTCCTCTGATCTCAGAAGCTAAGCAGGGTCAGGTCTGGTTAGTACTTGGATGGGAGAATGCGCGTGAGACATTGGCCTCTTCATCAGTACAGCTTGAAGCAAGCTTTCTTTTCTTTCTTGTCTTTTTTTTTTTTTTTTTTTTTTTGAGACAGAGTCTCACTCTGTTGCCCAGCCTGGAGTGCAGTGGTGCGATCTCAGCTCACTGCAACCTCTGCCTCCCAAGTTCAAGTGATTCTCCTGCCTCAGCCTCCCAAATAGCTGGGACTACAGATGCGTGCCACCACACCTGGTTACTTTTTTGTATTTTTAGTAGAGACGGGGTTCACCGTGTTGGCCAGGCTGGTCTCAAACTCCAGATCCTCAAGTGAGCCACCTGCCTCGGCCTCCCAAAGTTCTGGTATTACAGGCGTGAGCCACCACGCCTGACCACAAAGCTTTCTCTTTCTTCTTTCTCTCTTTTTCTTTCTTTCTTTCTTTCTTTCTTTCTTTCTTTCTTTCTCTTTCTTTCTGTCTCTCTCTCTCTCTTTCTTTCTTTTTTTCCTTTCTTTCTGTTTTTTGAGCTCTGTTGCCCAGGCTGGAATGCAGTGGTGCAATCTTGGCTCACTGCAACCTTTGCCTCCCAGGTTCAAGTGATTCTCCTGCCTCAGCCTCCCGAGTAGCTGGGATTACAGGCATGCACCACCACACCTGGCTAATTTTTGTATTTTTAATAGAGATGGGGTTTTACCATGTCAGCCAGGCTGGTCTCAAACTCTTGACCTCAAGTGATCCACCCGCCTTGGCCTTCCAAAGTGCTGGGATTATAGGCATAAGCCACCACGCCCGGCCACAAGGCTTTCTTTAATACTCATCCAGTGAGTGACTTTACAGCAAAGAAGAACATCCCTTCCACCCTTTCTCTCAGGCCTGGTTACAGGGCCACATCCACCACCACACAGGACCAGCCTGGGCACCTCCTCTCCAGGGCCTCAGCCCAAGAGGCTGAGTGGACAGCAGTGCCTCTGGGACCCTCGGGCTGACCTGCCCGGTTTAGTCACAGTGAGGGGAATCTCTTTTTTCCTTTGCTCACAGAAACAAAGACACACCTTTCTCAAAAATAACTTTTACTATAAGGGGAAAGATTAAAAAATTAAAAGTAGAGAAATAGATAGTTTTCCAGAACATGGTTTCTGTAATTCCACCAAGCTCAGCCTCATCATGACTTGGTTGATTTCATTTCCAGAACCTTCCACCCTCAATTTATTTTCTTTGCCTCAGTCAGCCCTGAGAAGAGGGAGACGGCAAAGCCACCCTGAGTGGCTGTCCTTGGGGCCTGAGGTTGTAGGGTGGAGGCTGGTGCCAGGCCCAGACATGCTGCCAAGTCTGCTCCTGGAGTGACCCTCCCTCTGCCGCTCTGTCCCAGGGACCCACACTGGGCTCTGTGAGGCCCTGTGCCTGGTCCCTGGGGTAAGGATGGGCTCTGTCAGGCACTGACCAAGTCGGTGCAGTAGAGATAAATGGAGTTTGGGAATCTGACAAACTGAGTTCCTTCCTGTCTTCCTCTGTTCTCAGCTGTATGATTTTTATTTTTTTATTTTATTATTATTTTTTTGAGACAGAGTCTTGCTTTGTCACCCAGGCTGGAGTGCAGTGGCATGATCTCAGCTCACTGCAACCTCTGGCTCCCAGGTTCAAGCAGTCCTCCTGCCTCAGCCCCCCAAGTAGCTGGGATTACAGGCGCCCACCACCACACCCGGCTAATTTTTGTATTTTTAGTAGAGACAGGGTTTCACCATGTTAGCCAGGCTGGTCTCGAACTTCTGACCTCAGATGATCCACCCGCCTTGGCCTCCCAAAGTGCTGGGATTACAGGCGTGAGGCACCGTGCCCAGCCAGCTGTATGATCTTGAAAAACTTACCTCCTCTCCTGGAACCTCAGCTTCCTCATATTCAGGAGGGAGTAAACGCTGCCCAGCTTGTTGTCACGGTTAAAGGTGGTGATGTAACATGTCTGGCATCTTCTCAGCTCATTCATCTTTTGCTCAGACCTTCCCGTGAGGGAATCCCTGTATATCCATGTTCTAATGCTGGATATTTTGAAACATGTATTTTACACGTCCTGGATAAAATAGATGAGGCCCTTTAGGAAAGAAATGGGCATCAGTGCGCATTATCAGAGCAGCAAAAGGACGAAGCAGCTGGAGTCCGCCAAGCTGGGGGCTGTGTCTGGCAGCACACACAGTGCAGTTGCCAGGGGGAGAGGTGCGTGGAGCTCATTAGACACACTTCTAAATTGGAAAAGGACTGTCCCACATGCAGCATGGGGACTGCCAGAGTCATGAATCGTTATAATTGTACCTTTCCAGTTAATCCAAACCACCAGCAATAAAGCTTGATGGTGAAGGACATTTTCATTCCCTCATGGAAAGAAGTGCAGAGAGGGCAAAAAGGAGCAGGGAATGGGTGCTGCAGGAACAAGTAAGGTTAGAAGGCAAATGAAATGAGAGAAAATGCCCAGCCTGGTACCTGTACATAGTAGATGTTCAATACTTGGTGGTCACTCTGCTCCCTCCCACCACCTCAGCTGCCTCCATGCCTGCCCTCCCCAGCCTGACTCATTTCTGTCTGCCCGAGGCCTGGTCACCAGCCTGTTTTAAGCAGTTGTCACTTGCTTGGAGCCTTGTCTTGCCCTCCGGAGGAAGCCAGAGAAACAAGTTCTTGGGAGCCCCACCCATCCAGCCACCTTCTCTGCCATTTTGCCTCTTGGGACCACCTTCTAGTTTGCTCACTAATGAGTGCTTCCTCATGCGGGAGTGGTGGGGATCTGCAGGTCCTGAGCCCAGACCTGTAGACCACTCATTATTTTACAGACATCTGTGGAGCACCTACTGTGTGCCAGGGACTGGGACACAGCAGTGAATAAAGCAGAGCTCCTGCCTGAGGAGCTCACATTCTAGTGGAGAGGGACAGGCAACAAATTGCACAAATATGTCAGTGGCACCGGATGTGACAGTGATGAGTGGTGGGGAAAAGCAGAGCCTAGTAGGGAGACAGCAAGGGCCTCACTGCGAGGGCAGTGTCTGAGGAAAGCCCTGAAGGAGGTGAGAGGACAGCCACCTAGGCCTTTGGGGAAAGAGCATCCCAGACAGAAGGAAGAGCAAATGCAGAGACTGGCAGGCGAGAAGCAGCCCCAGATGTCTGCAGACAGTGAGGAATGCAGTATGTTTTGTGGTGGAGTTGGAGGAGGGCAGGCAATAGGGAATGATCTAAGAGATGAATATGGGACCTCAGAGGCCAGTGCAGGACTTGGATTTCACCCTGAGTGAGGTAGAAGCCACTGCGGGAACCAGCTCTGGCTAATGTGTTAACAGGATCCTTCTGGCTGCAGACCCAACAGACTAAAGGGGGGTGAGGGCAGAAGGCGATGACCTGAGAGAATGTTGTGATAATCCAGGAGGAGCCAGTGGTGCTTGGAGGTGGCAAGGAGGGGTCAGACTCTGAAGGTAGTGACAACAGGCGGATACCCACAGGGCGGATGTGGAGTTTAAGAGAGGACTCGGGGATGACTCTGGCGGTTTAGATCTGAGCAGCTGGAAGAATGAAGTTGTAATCCTGGTCAGGCGTGGAGGATCATGCCTGTAATCCCAGCACTTGGGGAGGCCGAGGCGGGCGGATCACCTGAGGTCGGGAGTTCAAGACCAACCTGACTAACGTGGAGAAACCCCATCTCTACTGAAAATACAAAATTAGCCGGACGTGGTGGCACATGCCTGTAATCCCAGCTACTCAGGAGGCTAAGGCAGGAGAATCGCTTGAACCCAGGAGGCGTAGGTTGCGGTGAGCCGAGAGGGCGCCATCGCACACCAGCCTGAGCAACAACAGCGAAACTCCGTCTCAAAAAAAAAAAGTTGTAATCTTACTGAGGTGGGGAGGCTGTGGCGGGAGCAGGTGTCAGGAAGCTCAGAGGCTCAGTTTTGGACTTGTTGAGTTTGACACACAAGTAGGCCTCCAAGGAAGACGTTGCACGAACACTAGTCTGGGGTTCAGGGGAGGTCTGGACAGAGGGTGTAAATCTGGAGTCATTGGCATATAGATGGAATTTCAGCGCTCTCCCAGGGTGTCAGTGATGGTTGATACTCTTCTCCCCCAACAAATGCAGCCTCAGACACCGAGCAGGGACCTAGTGAAGGACTGTTGACCAGACAGATGTTCAGATCAATGCGCTTTTACATCAAAACCATCATGCGGGTTCCACAAATGCAACAGACATCGCTGGGTGTGGTGGCTCACACCTGTAATCCCAGCACTTTGGGGGCTGAGGCAGGTGGATCACCTGAGGTCAGGGGTTTGAGACCAGCCTGGCCAACATGGCAAATGCCGTCTCCACTAAAAATACACACACACACAAAATTAGGCAGGCATGGTGGCGCACGCCTGTAGTCCCAGCTACTTGGGAGGCTAAGGCAGGAGGATCGCTTGAACCCGGGAGGCAGAGGCTGCAGTGAGCCGAGGTCGCCCACTGCTCTGGGTGACAGCGAGACTCCATCTCAAAAATAAAAAATAAAAAATAAATAACTAGACATCATTACTATAAGAAAAGGGGGATTCTTTACTAACAGCCCCCTACCATCTCTGTCCCAGCCCCACAACAAGAAGAGACCCCTCCAGCCACTGAGTCCCCGCTGGAGCCACGCCTAGGAGAGCTGACAGTGACAGATGTGACCCCCAACTCTGTGGGCCTCTCCTGGACAGTCCCCGAGGGCCAGTTTGACTCCTTCATAGTCCAGTACAAGGACAAGGACGGGCAGCCCCAGGTGGTGCCGGTGGCGGCAGACCAGCGAGAGGTCACAGTCTACAACCTGGAGCCTGAGAGAAAATATAAGATGAACATGTATGGACTACATGATGGGCAACGCATGGGCCCCCTGTCTGTGGTCATCGTGACGGGTGAGTAATGGGGGGACTCAGTCCTCATCTCTGGTTACCCAGAGCTCCCCCACCCCATGGCCCTTCTTCCAGCCCTGCCTTGGTACCACCGCACCCTCACTGAGGGGCTAGATCCCCTCAGGCCCTGGCTCGGTGACCCTGCCAGTCTTTCTGTTCCCTGACCCCTTTACTCCTCCCAGGGCTAGAGCCTTCTCAGCCCTCCAGCTCCTTCCCCATCTCCACTCTGCCCCCCGCCCAGGGGAATGTCTTATTTCCATTTGGCCTAAATCCAGCCACAGACTTTCTCTCCCCCTCTCCGACTGCCCACAGCTGTTTCCACCCCTTCTCTTTACAACCCTGCTGTGACTTGGACACAGCTGCCACCTCCTGCTTCTGCCCTTTTTTGTTGAGGCGAAGTGCTTTACATCCTGAGTCCCTTCTCAGGAGTCCTCTGCCACCTGCCTGCACTGCATTCCATCCCAGCCCTGGAGAGTTTTCATCTCTCCAGGAGGCTGCCTCACTCTTGCTCTGGGCTCCTTCCTGCCCCTCATGGCTTCCTGGGCACAGGTTCTCCATGATTGTTGTGCTGTGGCATCTGGTGAAACCCCTACCCCACCTGAAGGCAATGTTTTTAAATCTGTAAAATAAGCTGTATAGGATTACAAAGGAAACATTATATTTATAGACAGTTATCAAAATATTTCTTTTTTATTTTTGAGATGGAGTTTTGCTCTTGTCATCCAGGCTGGAGTGCAATGGCGCGATCTCGGCTCACTGCAACCTCCGCTTCCCAAGTTCAAGCAATTCTCCTGCCTCAGCCTCCCGAGTAACTGGGATTACGGGCACGTGCCACCACACCCAGCTAATTTTTTGTATTTTTAGTAGAAACAGGGTTTCGCCATGTTGGCC
>NT_167244.2:3186564-3230407 GCF_000001405.40 Homo sapiens | reverse complement strand
GGCCAAAAAGCATGTAGCGGCTCCTTTAAGGCTCCTCCTCGCCCTCCCTCCCTCGCCCACGTGACCCGGGGCGGCCGCGCGCCGGCTCGGCCCCCAGCGCAAGCGGCGATGGCGGCGGCGGCGGGAGCTGCAGCGGCGGCGGCCGCCGAGGTGCGGAAGGGGAGGGGGAGAGGCGGGTGCATGCCCGCGCGCGCGCCCGGGGGAAGCGCGCGCCCGTGCAATGCTCCGGGGGTGCAACGGGGCCGGGGGGCCCGGGCGGGACTTGCAGCAATCCAGGGGGCCAGCACCGGGGGCGGATGAGGGGACCAGGGTGTGGGAGGTGGGGGGAGTGGGCACGGAGGCGCGCGTGCAGCCGCCGGCTGCCCCTGAGTGGGCGACGGGCGCCGGGGCCCCAGGAGCACGCGTGAGGGGCACGAGGGGCCGTCCACCGGGCTGGGGGGCAGCGGGTGCTGGAGGGGTTGGTGCCCGGGGTCCCCGCGGCCTGGGGGACAAAGGGGGAGCGGCGCGTGCAGCCGGGAGGAGGGGGCGGGGCCGGGGCGCGGAGGCCCCGCCCCCTCCCCCTCCTCTTCTCTCGGCCCCAGAGATGCGGGGTCTACCGAGAGGGAGGGGGTTGATGCGGGCCCGGGGGAGGGGTCGTGCGGCCCCTCCGGGCAGCCGAGGCCGCGGAAGGGGGGGGCCCCACAGAGGAAGAGGTAGGCCCCGGAGCCTACTCTCTCTTCCCAGGGCCCAGGCATCCTGGACCCCCCAACTCTCTACTGGGCTGACCAGCCCTCCTGTCCCTTGTCTCCCCTCCCAGGGGGAGGCCCCCGCTGAGATGGGGGCGCTGCTGCTGGAGAAGGAAACCAGAGGAGCCACCGAGAGAGGTGAGTGCAGCTAAAACGGGCCCCAATTGGACCGTCACCTTCCCTAAACACAGGATCTCCTGAGCCCTTAGCTCTGAACTTTTTCTCTTCCTCTACAGTTCATGGCTCTTTGGGGGACACCCCTCGTAGTGAAGAAACCCTGCCCAAGGCCAACCCCGACTCCCTGGAGCCTGCTGGCCCCTCATCTCCAGCCTCTGTCACTGTCACTGTTGGTGATGAGGGGGCTGACACCCCTGTAGGGGCTACACCACTCATTGGGGATGAATCTGAGAATCTTGAGGGAGATGGGGACCTCCGTGGGGGCCGGATCCTGCTGGGTGAGAGGCTGGGTAGCCTGGGGGGTTGGTGGGAAATTTCTGACTCTTGCCTTCTTTCTTATCTTGCCTTTTGCTTGCTTGTTTTCTAGGCCATGCCACAAAGTCATTCCCCTCTTCCCCCAGCAAGGGGGGTTCCTGTCCTAGCCGGGCCAAGATGTCAATGACAGGGGCGGGAAAATCACCTCCATCTGTCCAGAGTTTGGCTATGAGGCTACTGAGTATGCCAGGAGCCCAGGGAGCTGCAGCAGCAGGGTCTGAACCCCCTCCAGCCACCACGAGCCCAGAGGGACAGCCCAAGGTCCACCGAGCCCGCAAAACCATGTCCAAACCAGGAAATGGACAGGTGAGTGGGATGGGAGAGATGGGATAATCAACCATAAACCTTTGGTGAGCTCTTTTACAGTTTCACTTAAGGCTTCTACTCCATTTACTCATTCACATATTTAAGCAAGGGGCTGCTGTGTGTCAAATATTAGGCTGTGCTTGATCTGTGAACCAACAGACAGGTTCCTCTCTTCCTGCAGTTTACATTCTTGGGTGGTGAAAGTTTGATGTTAAAGAGTCAATTATATAGTTAATGTCTTAATTACTCTTATGATAATGACAAGGTAAGGGAATTTCAAACCACTCTTCCTTTCTACCTCAAAGCAAGCCCTTGGGGAACTCATCTGTCACTGCTCTATTTGTAAAGTTTTTCCTGGGAATCCCAGTGGGAAAGGAGATGAGGGCCACAGAAATAATAGAGGAGGGAAGTGACAAGGGCACCAGAAGCTTTATGACCAAGTTCTAGGGTTCTTGGGTCATACCTATTGTTGACCTAAAGGAAAAAACTGAGGCAAACTTAACATTAAGTAAAGTATATTTGGTCAGGTTTTGAGGACAGCCTTTAGGAGCAAAGATTCAAGTTGCCGTGAAAATACACTCTGATTAGCAGCAGTTATAAGTAGGGTTTTTTTTGTTTGTTTTGTTTTGTTTTTGAAGACAGTTTCACTATGTTGCCCAGGCTGGTCTCAAACTGCTGGGCTTCAGCAATCTTCCTGCCTTGACCTCGCAAAGTGCTGGGATTACAGGTGCAAGCCACCACAACCAGCCCACAAGTAGGTTTTTAAAGGAAAAGAAGATTGGATGACGTGAAGATATTGAAAAAAAACAGGCTGACTCTGGGCACACTGCGTAGGAGTTAGCCCTGCTCTGGAAGGAGCCGCAAAAAGAAAAAAAAAAAGATAAAAATTTTTTAAAAGATTGAAGAAATAACAAAGGAAAAGAAGAGGCAGTTCCTAAATTGTTTACCAGTTTACATTAGAATAACAAGCTATTGATCTGCTATACATTGTTCTTTGTCTCACAGATATTAGGCACATGAAGATAATGGGTGAAGCAGCACCCTAGTCAGGTACAAAATGCCTTTAAGCAGTTGCCTCCAGGCATGGGCCCTAACCGTTCCATGCTGACTTCTCGCTGAGCCTGATCAATTTTGCCTGCTTCACATAGCACAGGTTGCTATGAGCTACCTTTCCTTTCTCACTATGATAAACATTAATTTTTATAGTTGCAATTCATTTTGTAAAGAATAGGGAAGAAAAGGAAAATTGAATTTATAAATTAGGTACAGTGAGAGATTAACAACAATAATAACATAATAGCGTAATCCTAACAGTAGGCCAGGCGTGGCTTGCCTATAATCTCAACACTTTCAGAGGCCAAGGCCGGCAATCACTTGAGGTCAGGAGTTCGAGACCAGCCTGGTAAACATGTCCAAACCCCGTCTCTAACTAAAATAATAATAATAATAATAATAAATTAGCCAGGTGTGGTGGCGTGCGCCTGTAATCCCAGCTAGTCGAGAGGCTGAGGCAGGAGAATCACTTGCAGTGAGCCAAGATCGCGCCACTGCGGTTCAGCCTGGGCAACAGAGCGAGACTCAAAAAAAATAGCACAATTCTAACAATATGCCACCATCACTGCTGATGAACTGGATAAGAGGGGACTAGTGTCACGTAAAATTTACCATCTAAAAAACAATTTTAGGCCAGGCGCAGTGGCTCACGCCTGTAATCTCAGCATTTTGGAGGCCGAGGCGGGAGGATCACCTGAGGTCAGGAGTTTGAGACCAGCCTGGCCAACATAGTGAAACCCTGTCTCTACTAAAAATACAAAAATTAGGCCAGGCGGGGTGCCTCACGCATGTAATCCCAGCACTTTGGGAGGCCAAGGCAGGTGGATCACCTGAGGTCAGGAGTTCGAGACCAGCCGGACGAACATGGTGAAACCCCATCTCTATTAAAAATACAAAATTAGCCGGGCATGGTGGTACATGCCTGTAACAGTCCGCTACTTGGGAGGCTGAGGCAGGAGAATCGCTTGAATCCAGGAGGCAGAGGTTGTAGTTAGCCGAGATCCTGCCATTGCACTCCAGCCTGGACAACAAGAGCAAAACTCTGTCTCAAAAAAAAAAACAAAACAAAAATTAGCCGGGCGTGGTGGCATGTGCCTGTAGTTCCAGCTACTCAGGAGGCAGAGGTGAGAGAAACGCTTGAACCTGGGAGGTAGAGGCTGCAGTGAACTGAGATTGCGCCACTGCACTCCAGCTTGGGCAACAGAGTGAGACTCCATCTAAAAATTTAAAAATAAAATAAAAAACATTTTTAAGTATATAATTTAATGGTATTAAATACTTTCATCATGTGCAATCATCAGTCACCATAACTCATCTTGTAAAACTGAAACTCTGTACCCATTAAAACATAACTCTCCATTCCCTCCACCCCCTAGCCCCTGGCAAGGACCACTGTCCTTTCTTTCTCTATAAATTTGAGTAAGTACTTTATCTAAGTGTAATCATACAGTATTTATCCTTTTGTGACTGGCTTATTTCACTTAGCATAATGTCCTCAAGGTTCATCTATGTTGTACCATGTCAGAATTTCTTTCCTTTCACCTGGGCAGCATACCAAGACCCCATCTCTAAAAGAAGTTTAAAAGAATGTTTCAAAGGCCAGGCCCAGTGACTCACGCCTGTAATCCCGTACTTTCTGGGGAGGATCACTTGACACCAGGAGTTCAAGACCAGCCTGGGCAACATGGCAAGACCTCTTCTCTACCAAAAAAAAAAATTAAGAAGACATTAGTTAGGCATTGTGACATGTGCCTGTAATCCCAGCTTCCCAGGAAGCTGAGGCAGGAGAATGGCTTGAGTCCAGTTCGAGGCTGAAGTGAGCCATAGTCATGCCACTGCACTCCATCCAGGGTAACAGAATGAGACCTTATCTCTTAAAAAAAGTATATCTTTCCTTTTTATGGCTGAATGTTATTCCATTGTGTATAAATGCCACATTTTGCTTATCCATTCATCTGTCAGTGGCACTTGAGTTGCTTCCGCACCTCAGCTGTTGTAAACAGTCCTGCTGTGTATATGGCCACATATAAAAGGTCTTTTAACTTTATTAAGCTTTGTTTTCTCATCTGTAAAATGGAAAAGGGCCTGCTCTGCATGGTTGCAGAGATGAGTGAGTGTTAGTGTGCTTGACACTCTTCCTCTGAGGAAATAGCACCCGTGGTTGCCAGTTTGTGGCTACTGGAGCCTCACATGGCATTTGGAGGTGTGGCTCACTACCCCACCCCCGCCTGGGGCTCCAGGCTAACCCAGGCAAAACTGTAGGTGCTCTCTGACCCTCAGTGTGCTCCCTCTCGGCCCACAGCCCCCGGTCCCTGAGAAGCGGCCCCCTGAAATACAGCATTTCCGCATGAGTGATGATGTCCACTCACTGGGAAAGGTGACCTCAGGTCAGTCCCATCCCCCACCCCCGGTGGCTTGATGTGGTCTGTTCTGAAGGTTTCGGTGATAGGCCCCACACCATTCTCTCTCTTCTTCCAGATCTGGCCAAAAGGAGGAAGCTGAACTCAGGAGGTGGCCTGGTAAGCAGCAGAGGCAGAGCCTCTACCCCTCGGGGGCTGCTCTGAGGGAGGGTCAGAGGTGGGGCTGCATCCCATCCTCAGTAGAAATGCGCAGGGTGTCAGTGGCCTCAATTTTTCTGATCTTTTTCTAGTCGGAGGAGTTAGGTTCTGCCCGGCGTTCAGGAGAAGTGACCCTGACGAAAGGGGACCCCGGGTCCCTGGAGGAGTGGGAGACGGTGGTGGGTGATGACTTCAGTCTCTACTATGATTCCTACTCTGTGGATGAGCGCGTGGACTCCGACAGCAAGGTGAGACAGAGCTGGTCTGCCCTCCCCGCCGGTGCTCCCCCAGGGCTGGGGCTCACTGTCCAGTCCTCCTTGTTCCCTGTTTTTCTGCTTTCTGTCCTTTTTATCTTCTGAATATCCACTAAGTCATTGCCCCATGCTGTCTATAACTCCTTTTTTTTGTGGGGGGAGACGGAATCTCATTCTGTCGCCCAGGCTGGAGCGCAATATCACGATCTGGGCTCACTGCAACCTCTGTCTCCAGGGTTAAAGCAATTCTCCTGCCTCAGCCTCCCGAGTAGCTGGGATTACAGGCACCTGCCACCACGCCCGGCTAATTTTTGTATTTTTAGTAGAGACGGGGTTTCCCTGTGTTGGCCAGGCTGGTCTCTAACTCCTGACCTTAGTTGATCCACCCACCTTGGCCTCCCAAAGTGCTGGGATTACAGCTGTGAGCCACCGCGCCCAGCTGTAACTCATTTTCAATGTGTATTCTGCCCGTTTCATCCACAAAGGTGGCCACCACCCTGCACATGGGATTTAGTATTCTTTTTTTTTTAATCAGCTAATGAAATGACCATTTAACAGACATGTACTGTTTAAAAAAAGAAAACAAAAAAAGAAATGACCAGAAAGCACTTTTTTAAAACATACGTTATGCTGTTTATATAAAATTCAAAAGCATTGCATTGTCATTTATTTGCTTATTTCGTTGCTCTTTGTCTGGTTTTATCTTATATGTTTGCCTACACAGTAGAATGTTTAGTCTCTCTGATTTTGCCTTTTATTTAACATTTTATCATGAAAACTTGCAAGCATAATCAAAAGAGTAGAATAGGGAGCCCCCATGTACCCAATACACAGCTCCAGCCATTATCAGTACACAGTCCATCTTGACCCATCTGTACATCTCCCAGCACACACACCTACTAGGTTATTTTAAAGCAAATCCCAGACCTCATATCATTTTACCTAAACATATATCCATATAGATTTGTAAATATAAGGCCTCTTTTTGTCGTTCAACATCATTACACTACTGTTTTCACACCTAAAAAAACTTACCGATTTCTTAATACCATCAAATATCCTGTCAGTCTTCACATTTCCTCAGCTCTCACAAATGGTTTTTGTCAAGATCCAAATGAGGCCCACACCTTGATTTGATTAACATTTGTCTTAGGTCAGCCAGGCACAGTGGCTCACGCCTGTAATCCCAATACTTTGGGAGGCCAAGGCGGGCAGATCACGTGAGGTTGGGAGTTCGAGACCAGCCTGATCAACATGGAGAAACCCCGTCTCTACTGAAAAAAATACAAAATTAGCTGGACGTAGTGGTACGTGCCTGTAATTCCAGCTACTCGGGAGGCTGAGGCAGGAGAATCGCTTGAACCTGGGAGGTGGAGGTTGCAGTGAGCCAAGATCGTACCATTGCACTCCAGCCTCGGCAACAAGAGCGAAACTCCGTCTCAAAAAAAAAAAAATTTTTTTTTGTCTTAGGTCTCTCTCAGTATTTAGGTTTCCCCATCTTCTTTGTGTTTGTTTGTTTGTTTGTTTGTTTTTGTTTTTTGAGATGGAGTCTCACACTGTCACCCAGGCTGGAGTGCAGTGGCGTGATCTTGGCTCACTGCAAGCTCCACCTCCTGAGTTCAAGCAATTCTCCTGCCTCAGTCTCCCAAGTGGCTGGGATTACAGGCACCCACCACCATGCCCAGCTAATTTTTTGTATTTTTAGTAGAGGCAGGGTTTCACTATGTTGGCCAGGCTGGTCTCAAACTCCTGATCTCGTGATCTGCCCACCTCGGCCTCCCAAAGCGCTGGGATTACAGGCGTGAGCCACCACACCTGGCCTGATTTCCTCATCTTCTAAAAAAAAATTTTTTGGCCCAGGCGTGGTGGCTCACGCCTGTAATCCCAGCACTTTGGGAGGCAGGTGGATCACCTGAGGTCAGGAGTTTGAGACCAGCCTAGCCAACATGGTGAAAACACATCTCTAATAAAAATACGAAAATTAGCTGGGTGTGGTGGCGGGTGCCTATAATCCCAGCTACTCAGGAGGCTGAGGCAAGAGAATTGCTTGAATCCAGGAGGTGGAGGTTGCAGTGAGCTGAGATCACACCATTGCAATGCAGCCTGGGCAACAAGAGCAAAACTCAATAAATAAATAAGAAAGATTTTTTTTTTTTGCCATTTATTTGTCAAAGAAACCAGCTCAGTTGTCCTACAGAATTTTTCACATTTAGGAGTTGGCTGATTGGGTGGAGATTGACACATCCTCTCTGCCCATATTTCTTGTAAACTGATAGATCTAGAGGCGGAATCAGCTTCAGGTGCCAAGAAGACTTGACAGTGGGTGCAAGTGCTTCTGGCCACATCACATCAGGATGCATGGAACATCTAATCTGGTCATTTTTCTTGTTAGTGATAAGATTGACCAGTGGGTTCAGGTGATGTCAGCCTGAACCTTTCATATAAAGTTTCTCATGAGCTTTGTGTCTAGTGTTTTTAGCAACCATTGGTGGTCTTGCCTGTTTATGAACATCATAAAAGGGGTATCAAAGTATGTTTATCTTCTGGTACTTGCTTTTTGTTTTTTAACTTAATATCACATTACCAAGATCTGTGCACATTGCTGTCTGTAACTTTTTCACTGCTGTGTAATATTCCATGCACCCTCTCTTTATGTGGCCCTTTGTCTCCTCTGCTACCCACACTTATCCCCAGCAGCCATCCGTGGGTAGTGGCGGGGGGCAATGGTGGTGGTGGTTTTCTTTACTCACCTCATTGTCTGAGTCCTGGGGGTTGGATATGTCTGTTCTGCCTCTCTCCCAGTCTGAAGTTGAAGCTCTAACTGAACAACTAAGTGAAGAGGAGGAGGAGGAAGAGGAGGAAGAAGAAGAAGAGGAAGAGGAGGAGGAAGAGGAAGAAGAAGAGGAAGATGAGGAGTCAGGGAATCAGTCAGATAGGGTAAGAGACGGAGGCTGATATCTCCAGAGGAGTGGGAGACTATGGGGCTGGAGGTCTGGTCCTGAAGGTGTTGGGGGGGCCCCTGGGGGTGAGGGTTCCTAACTCCTCCTCCTCCCCCTTCCCAGAGTGGTTCCAGTGGCCGGCGCAAGGCCAAGAAGAAATGGCGAAAAGACAGCCCATGGGTGAAGCCGTCTCGGAAACGGCGCAAGCGGGAGCCTCCGCGGGCCAAGGAGCCACGAGGTGAGGAGGCTCTGCTGCTTTTGGGTGCCCTCCAGCCCCCGCCCGGCCCCCCAGAGTGTGTGCACGCACACACACGCTCTCGCATGTCCACCTGCATGTACCCACGCGTCCAGGCACCTGTGAGCTCGCACTCTCACTCTCTCTGTCTCTGTGTCAGGAGTGAATGGTGTGGGCTCCTCAGGCCCCAGTGAGTACATGGAGGTCCCTCTGGGGTCCCTGGAGCTGCCCAGCGAGGGGACCCTCTCCCCCAACCACGCTGGTAATTGCCAATTGCCGGGACAGGGAGCCACTAGGGGGCGACCTCAGGGCAGGAGGGAAAGGGAAGGAGGGGAACCACGCCAGAGCCGGGGTGTCCATGGCCAGGCTTTAGGGGTTCTGGGGCATGGCGGGGTGGGGTAGGGAGGGAGTGAGAGGACCCGCCAGGGGTCCCAGTAGGTGAGGTGCAGAGCCTCCCTCAGCTCCTCTTTTCCTCCATCCAAGGGGTGTCCAATGACACATCTTCGCTGGAGACAGAGCGAGGGTTTGAGGAGTTGCCCCTGTGCAGCTGCCGCATGGAGGCACCCAAGATTGACCGCATCAGCGAGAGGGCGGGGCACAAGTGCATGGCCACTGAGAGTGTGGACGGAGAGGTGGGGCCGTGGGCTGGTGGGAGAGGTGCCAGGGCGTCCAGTCCCCGGCCCCAGCCTCACGCTCTCTTCTCACCCATCCTCACTGCGCACAGCTGTCAGGCTGCAATGCCGCCATCCTCAAGCGGGAGACCATGAGGCCATCCAGCCGTGTGGCCCTGATGGTGCTCTGTGAGACCCACCGCGCCCGCATGGTCAAACACCACTGCTGCCCGGGCTGCGGCTACTTCTGCACGGCGGTGAGTGACCAGTGGGGCAGACAGGTAGCATGCCCTGTGGCAGAGGGGGCCCCAGTAACCTGACCATGTTGTTTCCCTGCTCCCAGGGCACCTTCCTGGAGTGCCACCCTGACTTCCGTGTGGCCCACCGCTTCCACAAGGCCTGTGTGTCTCAGCTGAATGGGATGGTCTTCTGTCCCCACTGTGGGGAGGATGCTTCTGAAGCTCAAGAGGTGACCATCCCCCGGGGTGACGGGGTGACCCCACCGGCCGGCACTGCAGCTCCTGCACCCCCACCCCTGTCCCAGGATGTCCCCGGGAGAGCAGACACTTCTCAGCCCAGGTACTGGCCTCCCCCTTCTGTACTGTCTGTTCCCTCCCCCACCCCTATTGCTCCTGGACATGAGCTCCTTCTTCCACAGTGCCCGGATGCGAGGGCATGGGGAACCCCGGCGCCCGCCCTGCGATCCCCTGGCTGACACCATTGACAGCTCAGGGCCCTCCCTGACCCTGCCCAATGGGGGCTGCCTTTCAGCCGTGGGGCTGCCACTGGGGCCAGGCCGGGAGGCCCTGGAAAAGGCCCTGGTCATCCAGGAGTCAGAGAGGTGAGTGGGGAGTTGCTCAGGCACAGCAACTGGGGCTGAGGCCAGAGGAGTGGTGTCGAGGCTGATGCTGGAATCTGAGGAGCTCCCCTTCTCTCCCCGCTCCCGTGCTCCCTTGGCAGGCGGAAGAAGCTCCGTTTCCACCCTCGGCAGTTGTACCTGTCCGTGAAGCAGGGCGAGCTGCAGAAGGTGATCCTGATGCTGTGTGAGTGCCACCCATTCCTTCAGCAGACCTTGACCAAGCTTCATGTATATACCAGGCACTGGGTACAGGGCCAGGAGTACAGTCGTGAAGGACACAGTCCTTGCCCTGAAGGACTTAGTGTGGTGGGGAAAAGACACATGTAACCCATAACGATGGGGATGTGGTGACTCATAGGTGCTGGGTCCTGTTCTGAGTGCTTATACCTGTTAGCCTTGGCTTGCACAGAGAGGTTAGGGACCTTGCACAGTGCACAGTGGTACTGAGAAGCAAGGCAGGGTTTGAATTCAGGCAGAGCTGATGCCTTTGACTCCTTATTCTGATAAATGCTGTGGTGGAGGCAAGCTCGGAGAATGCCAGGAGGGGCCCTGATCCAGCTTGGGGCCCTGAGAAGCCTTCCTGAAAGAAGTGCCACCTGCCCCCTAGCTTGCTTACCACTTGTCCCTCCCTCTCCCGGTGTGGCGGGCTCTCCCCGCAGTGGACAACCTGGACCCCAACTTCCAGAGCGACCAGCAGAGCAAGCGCACGCCCCTGCATGCAGCCGCCCAGAAGGGCTCCGTGGAGATCTGCCATGTGCTGCTGCAGGTCAGCACGGGCCCGGCCCCATGCCTCATTCACCAGGCCCTTAGGCCCCTCCCCTGCCCCATGCCTCCCTGGTGCCAGCCCTCCTGCCCCCTCACAGGCTGGAGCCAACATAAATGCAGTGGACAAACAGCAGCGGACGCCACTGATGGAGGCCGTGGTGAACAACCACCTGGAGGTAGCCCGTTACATGGTGCAGCGTGGTGGCTGTGTCTATAGCAAGGTGTGCGCGCAGGCAGCAGGGCGTGGCCCCCGGAGTCAGGGACCAGGTTTGGGGTGCCAGCCCAAAGGCTCATTTGCCCGTGTCTCCCTCAGGAGGAGGACGGTTCCACCTGCCTCCACCACGCAGCCAAAATCGGGAACTTGGAGATGGTCAGCCTGCTGCTGAGCACAGGACAGGTGGACGTCAACGCCCAGGTCAGCGGCCCACCCAGCCCAGCCCCTCTGGGTCCCTGGTGCCTGGGTTCCTTGGCTTGGCCTCAGGCTTTGGGCCGCCTTTCCTACATCTGACCTCACACTGCTCGTGTCTGTCCTCATTGCTTTCTTCTTCCTCATTTGTATTTCTCTTCATTCTTTTCTTTCTCGTTTCTTTCTCTTTATCAAGTTTCAGAATAATCAGTTCCTGTCTTAATCTCTGAAAGTGTCCAGTGAGGCTTTTTATTAACTCTTGGGTTGTCATACATTGGATGTGTTTTAGTCATTTATTGGCATTCTTCTCAGTCTTTGAATTATTCCATCATTGTCCAGAAGAAGCCCCTTTAAGAGGCCTCTGTGGCTGTGACATGACCCAGTGGCCCAGTGGCCTTTGAGAGCCTCCTGACCTTTCAGCACATTTCCTGCCCCCAACTCAGAATCCACCATTTCTCTAAGAAACTCTGCTTCCTTTATGGGAAACTTTTTTTTTTTTTTTTGAGACGGAGTCTCACTCTGTTGCCCAGGCTGGAGTGCAATGGCGTGATCACAGCTTACTGCAAGCTCCGCCTCCCAGGTTCACGCCATTCTCCTGCCTCAGCCTCCCGAGTAGCTGGGATTACAGGCGCCCACCACCATGCCCGGCTAATTTTTGTATTTTTAGTAGAGACGGGGTTTCACCATATTGGCCAGGCTGATCTTGAACTCCTGACCTCGTGAGCCACAGCGCCCGGCCAGAAGCATTTTTTAGAGAATACAATCTATGTTCCTAGGAGTGTTTATTGTTATTGGGTTGTCGCTGCTTCTAGGACTTTTGAGTGGGCAGACTTAGGAAATTTTTGTTCGTTTTTTCTTTTAAGAGACAGGGTCTTGCTATGTCACCCAGGCTGAAGTACAGTAGCAGTTCACAGACAGTCATAGCTCTCTGCAGCCTCGAAATCCTGGGCTCAAGCAACCCTCCCATCTCAGTCACATGAGTAGCTGGGACTACAGGCATGCACCTCCATGACCAGCTCCTGGCTGTATTTTTTGGAAAGAGAACAATTACTTTATTTTCTCTCTGGCATCAGATGGTAGACGCTACTAGTCCCATTTTTGTTTGTTTGTTTTTTGAGACGGAGTCTTGCTCTGTCGCCCAGGCTGGAGTGCAGTGGCACGATCTTGGCTCACTGCAAGCTCCGCCTCCCGGGTTCACGCCATTCTGCCTCAGCCTCCCTAGTAGCTGGGACTACAGGCGCCTGCCACCACGCCCAGCTAATTTTTTCTATTTTTTAGTAGAGACAGGGTTTCACCGTGTTGGCCACAATGGCCTCCATCTCCTGACCTCGTGATCCGCCCGCCTCGGCCTCCCAAAGTGCTGGGATTACAGGCATGAGCCACCGCGCCCGACCCTACTAGTCCCATTTTTTAGATGAAGAAACTGCGACCCAGAGACGTTAAGTGACTTACCCAGGGTCCCACAGCTTGTGAATGGTGGAGCTGGGATTCACACACACAGCCAATCTTGACCATTTGCTGCTTTGGTGAGCAGGGCCAGCTGCCCCCACCCTCACTCCCTTCCCACCCACAGGACAGTGGGGGGTGGACGCCCATCATCTGGGCTGCAGAGCACAAGCACATCGAGGTGATCCGCATGCTACTGACGCGGGGCGCCGACGTCACCCTCACTGACAACGTGAGTGAGCGTTTGGTTGAGGTAGGGCAGCCCCAGGCCCCTGAGCAAGGTGGAGGCTGGATTCAAGGGCCCAGCTGCCTGCACCTCATCTGTTCCCCTCCTACCTCCACAGGAGGAGAACATCTGCCTGCACTGGGCCTCCTTCACGGGCAGCGCCGCCATCGCCGAAGTCCTTCTGAATGCGCGCTGTGACCTCCATGCTGTCAACTACCATGGGGACACCCCCCTGCACATCGCAGCTCGGGAGAGCTACCATGACTGCGTGCTGTGAGCCCCTGCCCCGCCCTTGATGCCCCTGCCCCCACTTCTTGCAGCCTCAGACCCTGCATTGGGCATCCTGTCCCCTCTTCAGGTTATTCCTGTCACGTGGGGCCAACCCTGAGCTGCGGAACAAAGAGGGGGACACAGCATGGGACCTGACTCCCGAGCGCTCCGACGTGTGGTTTGCGCTTCAACTCAACCGCAAGCTCCGACTTGGGGTGGGAAATCGGGCCATCCGCACAGAGAAGATCATCTGCCGGTGAGCCCTGGGCCCCTCTCTGCACCCAAGACCACCTCCTCCCCACCCATACCCTCCCCAGGCTCCATTGCATCCTCACAACATTCCCCAACCCCTCCCCATGCACCACTGAATCCCCAGAACCACCCACAGGCCCCCTCCCCACTAGGGTTGCCAGATACAGCAAATAAAAATAGAAGACACCCAGTTAAACTGGAATTTCAGATGCACAGATGCATACTTTTTTAGTGTGAGAATGTCCTGTGTAATTTTTGGGACATACTAAAAAGCTATTTCTTGTTTATCTAAAATTCTATGTTAACTCGCTGTCCTGCATCTTACCTGGCAACCTTACTCCCCTGCCCCCAGCCCCAGGAACCTCCCCAACTCTCTTCCTTATACCTGGAGTAGCTCCTCACCCCCTTTTCCAGCTTCCCAGCCCCTTCTTCCCGTCTTCTGCAGGGACGTGGCTCGGGGCTATGAGAACGTGCCCATTCCCTGTGTCAACGGTGTGGATGGGGAGCCCTGCCCTGAGGATTACAAGTACATCTCAGAGAACTGCGAGACGTCCACCATGAACATCGATCGCAACATCACCCACCTGCAGGTGAGTAGGGGGCCCGGGGCCTCCCCAAAAGGACACCGAGAGCTGCCAAGTACAGTTGGACAAGCTTCAAACCAGCAAAGGCACCTGGCCAAGGAAGGGTTGGCTGAAAGGGATCCCTGGTGTGGGGTCGCATCCCCACCAGGGGAGGGATCCTTTTCCTAGGTCACAGCAAGGTATCATATGAGCTCCCAGTAGCCCTGGGGACACCACCATACTGATTACCCGTCACCCTAGGACCATCACCACCCACTGTTGTAACACATGGACCCCAAAGAAAGGACAGTGGTTAGGGGGTCAGGGGGCATCAAGAGTAGAGGGGCCCAGACCGATCATGGGGTTGAGCTGACCTCTGCCTCCTCGCCCCAGCACTGCACGTGTGTGGACGACTGCTCTAGCTCCAACTGCCTGTGCGGCCAGCTCAGCATCCGGTGCTGGTATGACAAGGTGCGTGCCCCTTGCCTTGGCCACAGACACCCGGCCCCTCCTTCAGAGGAGCCAGCCTCCAATAAACCAGCTCCCTGGGACCATGTCCCTCACCTCCTACCCTGTGGGGGAAGTGACTGAGAGGACTGGGCAAGGCCTGGGAATCCTGGGATGTGGCTGGGACAGCGATGGGCGTGTGCCCAGGTCTATGCAAACCAGGGATGATGCTCCTGCATTTCGTGCTCTCGGATCTCAGAGCCTGTGTGACCTCCCCAACCCCAACTTCCCTGTCTCTGTAGAGTCTTGGGGTTCCTGGGTGGGCAGCTGAGGTGGGCCCCACAGAGAAACCACTATCCTCCCCTCCGCACCCTAGGATGGGCGATTGCTCCAGGAATTTAACAAGATTGAGCCTCCGCTGATTTTCGAGTGTAACCAGGCGTGCTCATGCTGGAGAAACTGCAAGAACCGGGTCGTACAGAGTGGCATCAAGTGAGGCCCTGCTCCACAGCCCACCCTCTCCCCACCTCACCCTTTCCTCCCTGCCCCTGGGGCTTTTCCAGGGCCTCCACCCAACAGCGCCATCTCTCCTACCCCCAGGGTGCGGCTACAGCTCTACCGAACAGCCAAGATGGGCTGGGGGGTCCGCGCCCTGCAGACCATCCCACAGGGGACCTTCATCTGCGAGTAAGTCACCGGGAGCACCTTAACACCTGGTGGGAAGGGGATACATGGCCACTGCTGACTGCCAGGCCTCCCTCTCAGCCATCTGCCCTGATGAGTCACATGTCTCCATCTGGCCACTCTCCAGCCAGCCTCCTCTGACCCCTATTCCTGCAGCTGAGCAGCCAGCCGCCTCTGACCCCCATCCCCCCAGCTGAGAATGGCACCTGCCTCCACTCTGCCCAGACCACAGAGCTTGTCTTCCCTCCCCTCCACCTCCACCCTCTACCTTCCCCTCCACCCCCTCCTCGCCCTTCCTAGCTGGAGAAAGTGCCAGTTTGGGAGACAAACAGACTTGGGTTTGAGCCCCTCTCTGCTTCTGGATGTTCTTGGCCAAGTTACTTAACCTCTTTGAGCCTTATTTTTCTTGTCTGTAGAGTGGAGGTGATAACAGCTACCTATCTGTCCACCTCCTCAGGGGCCTGTCCCTCTCCATCAGTTCTTTCTCTGCCCAGCATCTGTAATCTCCCCCTTTCTCTTGGCTGCCATCCCACAACCCTCAATCTTACTTTAGTCTCCTTTGGCTCTTTTTTTTTTTTTTTTTTAATTTATTTTTTGAGACGGAGTTTCACTCTTGTTGCCCAAGCTGGAGTGCAATGGCACAATCTTGGCTCACTGCAGTCTCCACCTCCCAGGTTCAAGCGATTCTCCTGCCTCAGCCTCCCAAGTAGCTGGGATTACAGGTGCGCACCACCACACCCGGCTAATTTTTTGTATTTTTAGTAGAAACGGAGTTTCACCATGTTAGCCAGGCTGGTCTCCAACTCCTGACCTCAGATGATCCGCCCACCTCGGCCTCCCAAAGTGCTGGGATTACAGGCGTGAGCCACCGTGCCTGACCATTCTTTGGCCTTTAAAAAAGATAGTCCTCTAACCATACTTGCCTGTTCAACAGACCATCCAGTTTCTTTCCATCATGTCATCTCTCAACTTCTCTGGCAAGCAGCCCCTTCCTGCTGGGCCTCAGTTTCCCCACCATCCACTCACTGCCTGTCCCTGCCAAAATCGGCCTTTGCCCTTCCCACTCTGCTGAAGCTGTCTCTTGACAGTCACTTCCCACCCACGTCCTCTCCGTGTGTCTGAATCTCCCATGTCTGCTCACCCTCCTTAGATAGCTGGCTCCTCTCCTCCCTCTGGTGTCCAGATATGTGTGGGTGCTCTTGCCCCGAATCATGCCTTGAGTTCCTTGCCACTCCTGTACCTCTGGCTCTTCCTGCAGTCCTGGCCCCTCTCCTGTTCCATATCGCCCATTCCTGCCGGGTGGCTCCTGGAACACAAACCTCTCTGTGTCCAAACCCGAACTTCCCCACCCAGGCCAACTGCCCCTACACATTAATCCCCTTAACCACAGAGCTTGTTGTCTGTCTCTGTGCTGACTGAAGGCTTCCTCTGTCAAGGCTGGAATGCTGCCCTTTCACTTGCCCACCACTGCTGCTCCAGGCCTTCCCTTCCCCACACCTGCCAGCCCTGCCCATTCCAGATTCCACAGGCTTGTGAAGAGAGATGGGGCCTGGAGCCACCTCCTAATAGCCCACACTCACCTTCAGAACCATGGATTCCTGTCCCACAGGTATGTCGGGGAGCTGATCTCTGATGCTGAGGCTGATGTGAGAGAGGATGATTCTTACCTCTTCGACTTAGACAACAAGGTGAGCAGGAGACCCTCCTTACCCTGCTGCTCCCCAGGGCTGGCTTTCAGGAGCCTCTGGGAAGTCAGCAAATGGAAACCTGGGGAGGAGGGACTGGGGAGTCAGTGGGTGGGGAGGGCAAGCAGGGTCGGGGGAGATGTGAAGAGTGCCATCCCCCTGCCCCAGGATGGAGAGGTGTACTGCATAGATGCCCGTTACTATGGCAACATCAGCCGCTTCATCAACCACCTGTGTGACCCCAACATCATTCCCGTCCGGGTCTTCATGCTGCACCAAGACCTGCGATTTCCACGCATCGCCTTCTTCAGTTCCCGAGACATCCGGACTGGGGAGGAGCTAGGGTGAGACTCTAGGGGTCTCTAGGGGCTCTGCCAGGGGGTGGGAGATGCAGCAAACCTGGGACCTGAAGGCTGGCATGTACCTGGTGTCCAGGCATGGAGTAGTGCAGAGCTTCTCAGATTTCAGTGTACATAAGTATTTCCTGGAGGACTTGGGGAAACAGTCCTGTGCCTCCCAGAGAGATTTTGAATCAGTAGGCTTGGGATGGGGCCCAGGATTCTGCATTTCTAACAAGTCCCCAGGCAATGCTGATGCTGAAAGTCCATAGAACATACAAGGGGCTCAGATCCCATCTGGAGAAGATAGGTTGGGTGTCGGGTCCCTCTCAGGGAGCAGGATCCACAGGGTCTTCGGGGTGGGCTCTTGGTGGCTGGGTCCAGGTCCCACAAGCTCCTGTTTTCCTCTGACAGGTTTGACTATGGCGACCGCTTCTGGGACATCAAAAGCAAATATTTCACCTGCCAATGTGGCTCTGAGAAGTGCAAGCACTCAGCCGAAGCCATTGCCCTGGAGCAGAGCCGTCTGGCCCGCCTGGACCCACACCCTGAGCTGCTGCCCGAGCTCGGCTCCCTGCCCCCTGTCAACACATGAGAACGGACCACACCCTCTCTCCCCAGCATGGATGGCCACAGCTCAGCCGCCTCCTCTGCCACCAGCTGCTCGCAGCCCATGCCTGGGGGTGCTGCCATCTTCTCTCCCCACCACCCTTTCACACATTCCTGACCAGAGATCCCAGCCAGGCCCTGGAGGTCTGACAGCCCCTCCCTCCCAGAGCTGGTTCCTCCCTGGGAGGGCAACTTCAGGGCTGGCCACCCCCCGTGTTCCCCATCCTCAGTTGAAGTTTGATGAATTGAAGTCGGGCCTCTATGCCAACTGGTTCCTTTTGTTCTCAATAAATGTTGGGTTTGGTAATAAACTGCGATTTTTGTGTTGGGGTGGGGAGAAAGCATACTTGGCTAGAGGGAATGTGGGTCCAAGGGCCAGAATAGGATGGGAAGCAGGCTGGACAGGTGTGGCTGGTGTGATGGCCGCCCAGTGCGGGGCAGGGAGGTGGGGGGCCACTATGAAGATCCAGTTTCACAGGCACGGTGGCTGACACCTATAATCCCAGCACTTTGGGAGGCCAAGGCAGGCGAATCACCTGAGATCAGGAGTTCAAGACCAGCCTGGCCAACTTGGTGAAACCCCATCTTTCAAAATAGAAAAAATTTGCTGGGCGTGGTGGCAGGCACCTGTAATCCTGGCTACTCCAGAGGCTGAGGCAGGAGAACCGCTTGAAGCCAGGAGGCGGAGGTTGCAGTGAGCCAAGATTGAGTCACTGCACACCAGCCTGGGCAACAAGAGCGAAACTCCATCTCAAAAAGGAAAAAACAGGTCCAATTTCCACACTTTAATCTTTGGCGGGAGCGTGTTGGGAGTGTACGGCAGTTAAGGTAGTTTGCGAGATTATAAAGCGTTTTCTTATCAGAGCATGCCAGGTCGTTCACTGTGGTCCGTAGTGCCCCCAGGAAATAGCCCTGAGCCCCCGTCCCAGGCTCCAGCTCCCCAGCCCGCTGGGCACAAAGTTGAGAAGAAGGAACTAGAGTGTGTCGGGGACCACAGGCGGGGGTGGGGCTGTGACGTGTGGGAGGGCGGGGCGGGCAGCAGGTGAGACGCCAGGTCTCCAGGGCTCCAATCACTCCGGAGACTGAGCCATGGGGGGAAAGCAGCGGGACGAGGATGACGAGGCCTACGGTGAGACTGGGGCGAGGCCCGGGACCCTGTGGAGGGAGGGGAGGACGGGTACTTTGGGAATGGTGTCTGGGGCTGGCTCCAGGGAGAGGAACTAAGGAGAGTACTGTGTCCCTGAGGGGAGGGCCCGGGAACCGGGAGCCATGGAGGGAGGGAGTCAGGGTCCTGGGAGGAGGATGGGGCCCGGGGGCTGGGGCTGTTGCTGGGGAGCCCATGGGGAGTGAAGCTGGGTGCCTCTGAAGAGTTGGGGCTGAGGTCCTTGGGAGGAGGGGGGTATTTCAGGCCTGGACTCTGGGTCCCTAAGGGCAGGGCCCTAGGAAACAAAGCCGAGATGGAAGGTGGCAGGTTGGGGCCCTGAGCAGAATAGGGCTGGATGCTGGGAGTGTCCTGTGCTGCAGAGCCTGCAACCAGTGAGGCCAGGGTCCCTGTAAGGAGGAGGAGGTTCAGCCTGGAGTCTGGGTCTCTGAGGGCGAAAGCTGCTTGTGGCCTGCCGGCTCCCTTGAGGAGTGAGGGGACCCTGAGTGGGCTGGCCTCTGCCTGCCAGGGTCTCTGGGAGAAGTGGCAGAGGGAGTGGGTTCTGCTGGGGGTCCCTGTGAGGAGTTGGGGCTGAGGGTCTTTGTGGAAAGGGGGCTGGGGTCCTGCCTAGGGGTCTCTGTGAGGAGCTAGGAGCAGGAGCTGGTCTTGGGGTACTCTGAGGAATAGGGACAGGGCCCCTGGGGTTCCTGTGAAGGGTGAGGCCTGAGGGGAGAAACAGCAGGGAGCCTGTTTCCAGAATCTGCAAGGAAAAGGGGCTGGGGTTCTGAGGAGAGAGGGAGCTGGGGACTGGCCTCCAGATCCCCACGAGCAGTGAAGGCTGGGGACTCACCTGCGGAGGCCCCCCTGGTCTTCTGGTCTGAAGGGGAAGGAACCCCTATGAGGGACCTTCTCGAGGAGAGGCTTGAGTCCCTTAGGGCCATAGGGGAGCAGGCAGTGAGGACTCCCGAGTAGACTTCCTGGAGCGGCTTCAGGTCAATCATTGTCCATGAGCCATGGAGGGACAGAGTCCAGCGCACCTGGGGAAAGTGGACCCCACCCGCTCCTTCCCAGACTCCTGCCCAGCCCTCGGCTCTCCCTCCTCAGTGCCCACAAGGAACCCTGACTGCCCAGCCCTCCTCCTCCCTGTGTGTGTACTCAGGGAGGACCAGGAACTCAACGTGCCTGCAATCTCTATGGCTGGGCTCAGGTGTCACTCTGACTGCTGGCCCAGAGCCCGGAGCACACTGTGGCCAGGGGACTGAGGTCCCACCAGAGTGAGGATGTACAGGGCCGCTTCCCTCCCCAGGCCCTGCTGGGGTTGACACCTTTGTCTCCAGTTTCTTTCCCCATAGCCTTGAACCAGAGGGTAAGGTAGGGCCTGGGGCAGATAGGGGAAGAGGCCATGACCTCCCTGAGGGGCTGTGGGTCTGTGTGGTCCCTGGGGAGGGATTAGGGAGGAGGCAGGGATGAGAATGAGGGAGTGAGAGCCACTGGGAGTCCCACATCCCAGCTAAAGGGAGACTCAGGAGAACCGTGCCAGGGTAGGGCAGGGGACCAAGGCCATTTCCCAGACTGACTGCCTTGAGATGTGAGCCGGAAACTATAAAGGCCTTCCTTCCCCTCCCCATGGCAGCCTGGGTGGAGCTCCCAGGGAGCTGCTGAGCTGCTGACCAGGCCTGGATCCTACCTTTCCTGCTCCCCAGTTTTCCCCTCCTGCCAGTCCTGCCCTAGCCCATCTCCCTCCAAACACCTGAGGCCTGGGTAGGATCCTGGGGCTAGGAGGACTCAGCAGGACAAGATATGCAGAGAGAGACTCATCCTCCACACCTCTTCTCATGTCCCTCAGGGAAGCCAGTCAAATACGACCCCTCCTTTCGAGGCCCCATCAAGAACAGGTGAGCTCTGGGCACTGCTCCGGGGGCTGGCGGGGGTGGTGGGTGCAGTGTGGAATCCAGTATTTGCTTTGTATTTGCTAAAATATTAGTAGGAAACTTGTGAAAAAGAGAAACTCCTGCCCCAGATGGGTGGTGCCCTGGGGGGATTGTTGTGTCTGGAGCAGGCATCGAGGGCTTCCCAGTTCTGGGGGGATGTTCTGTTTCTTGACTTAAGTGCCGGCTTCACAAGCGAGAGAACTCACCCAGCTGAGCCCTTGCGAGTTGTGTGCTTTTCTGTCTTTTACTTCAGAAGAAAGTTTACCCACCCAGAAAAAGGTTTTCTTTCTTTTTGTGTTTTGGAGATGGGGGTTCACTGCAGGCTCGAACTCCTGTGCTCAAGTGATCCTCCTGCCCTAGCCTTCCGAGTAGCTGGGACTACAGGCATGCACCATCACACCAGGCTAATTTCTTTGAGATGGGATCTCACTATGTTGCCCAGGCTGGTCTCAAACTCCTGGCCTCAAGGGATTGCCCTGCCTCAGCCTCCCAAGTAGCTAGTATTACAGTCGTGAGCCACTGTGCCTGGCTAGGTTTTCTAAATAAAATATTTAAAAAAAATTAGCCGGGCAGTAGTGGCACGCGCCTGTAATCCCAGCTACTCGGGAGGCTAAGGCAGGAGAATTGCTTGAACCCAGGAGGCAGAGGCTGCAGTGAGCCAAGATTGCACCACTGCACTCCAGTCTGTGTGACAGAGTGAGACCCTGTCTCAAAATAAAAAAGTAAAAGCAATAAAAAAATAAAAATAAAGCCTACTGATGCCCATGCTGCAGCATCACCCAACTCTCTAACCCTTAACCCCTCCAGACCATAAGCCCTACCTCCCCAAGTCTCCTTAGCTCAGCCTCCCATTTCGTTTCTCTCTCAGAAGCTGCACAGATGTCATCTGCTGCGTCCTCTTCCTGCTCTTCATTCTAGGTTACATCGTGGTGGGGATTGTGGGTGAGTTTCCAGCTGCTCAGAGCCAGGGCAGTGGGTGAGGGACAGGAACCCAGGGAGGGACCATTCCCATAACTGCCCCACTAAGTCCCTGCCCTCCAATGACTCATCTGTGCCTCTGTCTGCAGCCTGGTTGTATGGAGACCCCCGGCAAGTCCTCTACCCCAGGAACTCTACTGGGGCCTACTGTGGCATGGGGGAGAACAAGTGAGTACAAAGGCGAGAAGAGGAGTGCAGGAGCGAGGCGAGGTAGGGTGGGCAGGAGACACCCCCCCAACTCAGGCTCCAGACCTGTCCGTGCTCTTCCACAGCCTTTCCCTGCTGTCCCCACCCCACCTCAGCCTCCCTGAATCTGACAACTCCAGGCCACGTTAAGAACCATTGCTGGACAGTTAGCTTCTTGAGTCCCCCCAGAAATGGGAGGCAGTGGAGAGTCGTGTTAAGTGTATGAGTTTTACAGTTCAGAGATTGGTGTTTGGATCCCCAACTGGACCAAGTTTTGGTTGTGTGGCCTTGGACAAGTTACTCAAGCTCTCTGAGCTTTGATTTCCTTATTTGAAATTCAAGGGGAATTCCAGAAGCAATGCCAACAGTCCTCACATACAGATGTCCAATAAATAATAAAACCTCAAATATTTATATAGCATTTACTATGTTCCAGGCAGGCAGTAAACTTTACACACACAAGCGCATTGAAATCTCATGAGGTAGGCACTACTGTTTTATATGGAGTAGAACTAAGACCGAGAACAGGTGACTTGCTCAAGATCATAAAGATGATATGAAGTTGTGGAGCTCCAAGTTCATGCTCTGAGCTATTTGTCAGCTGCTGCAATGGTGACTTACTCTGAGAGATCTTCTAGGCATCTCCCTACCTCCCCAGCTGAGCTAGGGCCAGGAGCTGGGAGGTGACTGGTATGGGCCACGCTGGGCTGGGCCCACTGTATTCTTGAGAAGCCACCCTAGTGGTCCCTCCCCTCCCCCAACACCTGACCAGGCCCTGATGCACATGGTCCCTCCCCTCCCACAGAGATAAGCCGTATCTCCTGTACTTCAACATCTTCAGCTGCATCCTGTCCAGCAACATCATCTCAGTTGCTGAGAACGGCCTACAGTGCCCCACACCCCAGGTCAGAGCCTGGGACCTGCCTCTACCCCAGATCTCACCCAGGGTCTCAGGTTCCAGCCCCTTAGTGTTCTCTCTGCACCCAGGTGTGTGTGTCCTCCTGCCCGGAGGACCCATGGACTGTGGGAAAAAACGAGTTCTCACAGACTGTTGGGGAAGTCTTCTATACAAAAAACAGGAACTTTTGTCTGCCAGGGGTACCCTGGAATATGGTGAATATTGCCCCTAACCTCATCACTGTCGCCCAGAAGGGCCAGGGTGGGCACGAGAGGGAGGGGGAGTTGGGTAGATCATCACCAGGTTGGCTCTCCTGGGGAGTGTGGGACAGGCTGAGCCCCATGGTGGTGGTGAGGGGACCTGCTTCTTCATCCTGCTCTGTGTCTGTGTGTCTGTCCTTTCACTCCTGCCACAGACGGTGATCACAAGCCTGCAACAGGAACTCTGCCCCAGTTTCCTCCTCCCCTCTGCTCCAGGTGAGAAGCACAGATTCCTTCCTCAGACGTCATCTAGTCCAGTGTTTTCATTGCTTGAATGAAGAAATCAGGCCCAGAGAGAGTGAAGTCACATAGCTTGTTGGTGGCAAAATTGGAATTAGCATCAGGTCTTCATTTTGCTCTTTGTTATGTGGCCTTGCAGTCAGACCATCAGTGTTTTGGGGACCTACTATGTGCCAGGTGCTGGGGACAGAGGCAGGGATAACAACTGCTCCCTGCTTCAGCTACATTCTAGGTGAAGAGATTAGAGTTGTTCACAAAGAGACTGTATGAAAATCTCATGAAAACATACATGGGTGAATCTACACACACATTTTTTTTTTTTAGACGGAGTCTTCCTCTGTTGCCCAGGCTGGAGTGCAGTGGCGTGATCTCGGCTCACTGCAACCCCCGCCTCCCGGGTTCAAGCGCTTCTCTGCTTCAGCCTCCCGAGTAGCTGGAATTACAGCACATGGTGCCCGCCACCACGCCCGGCTAATTTTTATTTTTATTTTATTTATTAAATTTATTTATTAAATTTGTATTTTTAGTAGAGACGGGGTTTCACTATCTTGGCCAAGCTGGTCTTGAACTCTTAACTTCGTGATCCACCCACCTTGGCCTCCCAAAGTGCTGGGATTACAGACATGAGCCACCACGCCCAGCCTGCACACATATCATTTTTATATATGCACAGGGAAAAGGCTAGAAGGATATTTGTTCAAATGTTATAAGTGAACGTGGCTGGGTGGTAGGATCACAGTTGAACTTTTTTTCTTTTACAGTGTGCTCTTCCTTCCAGTAGCAAATGTCTTTTTTTTTTTTTTAAGAGATGAAGTCTTGCTATGTTGCCCAGGCTGGTCTTGAACTCCTCGATTCAAGCAATCTTCCCACCTCAGCCTCTCAAAGTGCTGGGATTACAGACATGAGCCCCGACACCCAGTTGCAAATGTCATTTTTAATATAAAACAATTTTTAGGCCAGGCATGGTGGCTCATGCTTGTAATCCTAGCACTTTGGGAGGCTGAGGCAGGCAGATCACCTGAGATCAGGAGTTCGAGACCAGCCTGGCCAACATGGCGAAACCCTATCTCTACTAAAAATACAAAACTTAGCTGGGCGTGGTGGCATGCACCTCTTATCCCAGCTACTCAGGAGGCTGAGGCAGGAGAATTGCTTGAACCCGGGTGGCAGAGGTTGCAGTGAGCTTTGCAGTGAGCCAAGATCGCGCCACTGTACTCTAGCCTTGCTGACAGAGCGAGACTCCGTCTCAAACAAAAATTTTAGGCCGGGAGCAGTGGCTCACACCTGTAATCCCAGCACTTTGGGAGGCCGAGGCGGGCGGATCACAAGGTCAGGAGTTCGAGACTAGTCTGGCCAACATGGTGAAACCCCGTCTCTACTAAAAATACAAAAATTAGCCAGGTGTGGTGGTGGGCACCTAAAATCCCAGCTACTCGGGAGGCTGAAGCAGGAGAATTGCTTGAGCCCAGAGGCGGAGTTTACGGTGAGCCGAGATGGTGCCACTGCACTCCAGCCTGGGCAACAGTGAGACTCCATCTCAAAAAAAAAAAATTAGACAATTTATAGCATAAGATGAGATATCCAGTTACCAATTTAAGTACAGTAAGGAGTATCTCAAGTGAATACTTCAAAGTCAAGTAGATCTGAATATAAATTCTAGCACTTTCCAGCCCTATGGTCTTGACCCAACTATGCAACCTCTCTGAACCTTGTTTCCTCATCTTTAGAATGTAAATGACAGTGAGGTGCAGTGGCTCACGCCTGTAGTCCCAACTGCTCAGGAGGCTAAGGCGGGAGGGTCACTTGAGTCCTGGAGTTGGAGGTTACAGTGAGCTATGATTGTGCCACTGCACTCCAGCCTGGGCAATAGAGTGAGAAACCCTGCCTCTAAAAAATAAATAAGCTAGGTGAGGTGACTCACACCTGTAATCCCAACACTTTGGGGGGCTGAGGTGGGAGGATTGCTTGAGCCCAGGAGTTTGAGGCCAGCCTGGGCAACACAGCAAAACCCCATCTGTACAAAAAATTTAAAAATTAGCCAAGTGTGGTGGTGCACATCTATAGTCCCAGTTGCTTGGGAGGCTAAGTGGGGAGGATCGCTTGAGCCCAGAAGTTCAATGTTGCAGTAAGCTATGATCATGCAGCTGCACTCTAGCCTGGGTGACAGAGCAAGACCTTGACTCAAAAATAAGTAAATAAATAAATAAATAGATAAATAAATGACAAAGCAAGGCTGCCTGGCAAAGTTGTTGCAAGGATGGCAGTAAGTGGCTCTGTAGGCACATAACAGTTGCCAAAGGAGGTGGGGATAAGGTCAGAAGGCTTCCTGGAGGAGGTGAGATGGAGCTGGATTTGAACAGGGAGTCATGGATGGGATTTCTGGTGGAAAGAGAGCCCTGAGAGAGAGGCACAGTAAGAGCAAAGGTACAGATTAGAAGGGAACATGGGCTGGATTTGGACAGGAGAGCCTGGAAGCCTGGCCAGGGAGTGTGGATGCTGTCTCTGGGGCAGAGCCTCTGGAGATGTCTGAGTCACAAAGGGACCCAGAACCCTGGAGTGATGAAGTCCAGGCAGTGCCACGGTCTCCCTGGCACTCCACTCGGGTGGAGGGTGGATGGAAGGGTGACAGGGTGTTCTAAGAGTTGAGGCCAGCGGAGAGGAGGGTCCAAACCAAGGCACGACAGGGAGGGGAGGCAGGGGATAGACTGGGCTCCACAGGACAGAAGCCCATTTGTGAAATCAAAAGCAGCCCACTGAGGGATGCAAGGCCCATCACCCTTCCCTCCCCTAAGGGCACTGTGGACTGGGAGGGGGCCAGAGACCCTCCAGGCAGAGCTCCTGGCCCCCAACCCAGCAGCCCGGCTCTCCCTTCCAGCTCTGGGACGCTGCTTTCCATGGACCAACATTACTCCACCGGCGCTCCCAGGGATCACCAATGACACCACCATACAGCAGGGGATCAGGTAGGCACCTCCCTCCCCCACATCCTGGCCACACCCCTTCCACCCACAGCCCCATCTGACTCTGTCTCCCCAACAGCGGTCTTATTGACAGCCTCAATGCCCGAGACATCAGTGTTAAGATCTTTGAAGATTTTGCCCAGTCCTGGTATTGGATTCTTGTGTGAGTCACCAGATTCCCCTCCTCTTGTGTCCTTGCCTTCTTCCTCCCTGATCCTCTACCCCCTCGCCCAATGTCTGAAACACAGGCTTTGGACAGAGGAGGAGGAGCCAGAGCTCCGAATGGATTCCAAGACCAACAGGATTTATAAGGGAAAGAGGCCTAATCTGGGGACATTGGGTGGTGTGTGGAAAGGCAGGGAGGGCCTCTGTAAGGGGAAAGATTTGAGGGGCTAGGGCTGAACCTCACTGTCCTCACCCTGCCTACAGTGCCCTGGGGGTGGCTCTGGTCTTGAGCCTACTGTTTATCTTGCTTCTGCGCCTGGTGGCTGGGCCCCTGGTGCTGGTGCTGATCCTGGGAGTGCTGGGCGTGCTGGCATATGGCATCTACTACTGCTGGGAGGAGTACCGAGTGCTGCGGGACAAGGGCGCCTCCATCTCCCAGCTGGGTTTCACCACCAACCTCAGTGCCTACCAGAGCGTGCAGGAGACCTGGCTGGCCGCCCGTGAGTGTCCTGCCCACCCCCAAGCCACCAGCTGCCCAAGGACTGCCCTGGGCCATGCCCGGCCCCAGCCCTGGCCCTGACCTAGGTCTGTCTGCCCCATCCTCTGCAGTGATCGTGTTGGCGGTGCTTGAAGCCATCCTGCTGCTGGTGCTCATCTTCCTGCGGCAGCGGATTCGTATTGCCATCGCCCTCCTGAAGGAGGCCAGCAAGTTAGGGCCTGCCTGGGAGGGAGATGGGGTTGAGGACAGCGTGGACCCAGGAGTGCTAGGGGACCTAGGGGGTGCTAGAGAGGTGGCAGGGAGCCTCAGAGGAGAAGGGAGGAATATAGCACAGTGGTGAACACTGCTGTGGCTTTGCTTCCCCATCTGTAAAATGGGGGTAACAATAATTCCTGCCTTCTAGGGTTGTCTTGAGGATTCAATGAGTGCCTGGAATATGACATAGGCCTTCTAGAGGGGTTGGTGGGAGTGGTGGTGGCTGAGTGGAACGGCAGGAATCCGGGCCAGGAGGGGCAGCAGCTTGCTCCCGATCAGGAACTGCCACACACACCTGCCAAGGGATCACGCTTGGGGGTGATCTTCCCTTACTCCACCCGAAGCTGCCCCAGGTGGCTTCTCTGTGACCCTAGTTTCCTCTAAGGGTCCTGTGAGCCTGATTTATTCAGTTCTGTTTATCCAGTGAGCACCTACAGTATGCCTAGCCCTGCACCAGGCCCTGAGGACACAGATATGAAAGACAATGTCACTAACCCTGTTGGTCCCACCCTGGGGGAGTGGGGCAGGCCCCAGTGAGGGCAGCGGGGTCAGCCCCCCCCTTTTTTTTTTTGAGACGGAGTCTCGCTCTGTCGCCCAGGCTGGAGTGCAGTGGTGCGATGTCAGCTCACTGCAAACTCCGCCTCCCGGGTTCACGCCATTCTCCTGCCTCAGCCTCCGGAGTAGCTGGCACTACAGGCGCCCGCCACCATGCCCGGCTAATTTTTTGTATTTTTAGTAGAGATGGGGTTTCACCGTGTTAGCCAGCATGGTCTCGATCTCCTGACCTCGTGATCCGCCCGCCTCAGCCTCCCAAAGTGCTGGGATTACAGGCGTGAGCCACCGCGCCCGGCCGGGGTCAGCCCCTTGAGAAGATGGACAGCTGGGGCGGTGCCGGTTAACAGCTTTGTCTCCCTGCAGGGCTGTGGGACAGATGATGTCTACCATGTTCTACCCACTGGTCACCTTTGTCCTCCTCCTCATCTGCATTGCCTACTGGGCCATGACTGCTCTGTATCCTCTGCCCACGCAGCCAGCCACTCTTGGAGTCCTGGGGGTTGATGGAAAACAAAGCAATACTTGCCTTGTAGAGTGCCTTGGTGTCACTGGAAGAGGTGCCCCTTTCTCTGGGCAGACACACCAGCACTGTGCCTGAACAGAGTTGAAAGGGTGCACACAGGCTGAATTTCAGCCCTCTCTGTGCAGCAAACGATCTGCACAAGCACCTAGGAACAGGTCCCTAAGGAGCGAGTGACCTGTGGAGACCTCGTGTGATCATGCTTTCCTTGACTCCCCTCTGGGTACCTGGCTACATCGGGGCAACCCCAGTATGTGCTCTGGGCATCCAACATCAGCTCCCCCGGCTGTGAGAAAGTGCCAATAAATACATCATGCAACCCCACGGTAAGAGGAAGCAGGGGACATGGAGGCGGGACTAGTAGGGGTGAGGGGCTGTAGGGGCCACATTCCTCATTGTGCAGAGAAGACTGAGGCCACAGAGGGCAAGACACTTGTGCAAGGTCACACACTCAACCCCCAGCAGAGCTAGAAGAAACCAGTTCCCAGAATACCTGGTACTCCTGTTGAGCCATCCATCATGTGGGGAGGGAAACTGAGGCTGGGAGAGACAGCCCTGGATACCAGGACTTACTCCACCCCTCCCCAGGACATTGCTCTGACTTGAGGACCATCAACCACTTCACCCTCTGAGTCTCAGCCTACTCCTGTTTGTTTGTTTGTTTGTTTGTTTGTTTGTTTGTTTTGAGACAGGGTCTTGCTCTGTTGCCCAGGCTGGAGTGCAGCAGTGCAATCTCAGCTCACTGCAACCTCCATCCCCCAGGCTCAAGCAATCTTCCCACCTCAGCCTCCTGAGCAGCTGGAACTACTAGCGTATGACACCACGCCAGGCTAATTTTAAGCTTTTTGTAGAGGCAAGGTCTTGCTGTGTTACCCGGGCTGGTCTTGAACTCCTGGGGTTGCCCCGATGTAGTCAGGTACCCAAGCAATCCTCTGGCTTAACCTCCCAAAGTACTGGGATTATAGGAGTGAGCCACCACATGCAGCTCCATTCCTCTGTAAAATGAGGATAATTATAATACCCATCCCTGGGGTGGCTGAGAAGATGAAATGACTTTGGGCACATAAAGTGCTTAGTACAATGCCTGGCACCTGATAAGAGCTCAACAACAGGTTGAATTGTATTATATTGTTAAGTCTTACTCCCTTGGAACACAGAGCCCTAGGTAGTAGCCAGGTGGGACTCCCTGCGGGGGACCCGAGAGAGAAGCTGCTTCCAAAATTCCCCTGTGAGGTTCCCCGGGAGTGGCGCTGGGCTGCTGGGAATTTACTCTTCTCAAACCTGTCATATCTTCACCTCGTCTGAGCTGGGAACATGAGCTGTGCTGCAGGCATTAGCCCCACCCCTATTAAAAAGGGGAGGTTTGGCAGGCGCGGTGGCTCATGCCTGTAATCCCAGCACTTAGGAGGCCGAGGTGGGCAGATCACCTGAGGTCAGGAGTTTGAGACCAGCCTGGCCAACATGACAAAAACCTGTCTCCACTAAAAGTACAAAAATTAGCCAGGCATGGTAGCAGGTGCCTGTAATCCCAGCTACTCAGGAGGCTGAGGCAGGAGAATTGCTTGAACTCGGGAGGCGGAGGTTGCAGTGAGCTGAGATCGCGCCATTGCACTGCAGCCTGGGCGGCGAGACTCCGTCTCAAAAAAAAAAAAAAAAGGTTTATTTACATGTACAGAGGACCCACTATGTGCCAGGCACTGGGTATACAAAGCCCAAAATGATGTGGTTCTTTTTCTTTTTCTTTTTTTTTTCTTTTTTAATGAAAAAAAGGCTGTTACACAGGCTGGAGTGCAGTGATGCGATCATGGCTCACTGAAGCCTTGATCTCCCAGGCTCAAGTGATCTTCTCACCTCAGTCTCCCAAGTAGCTGGGACTACAAACAAGTGCCACCATGCCCGGCTAATTTTTTTTTTTAAGAGATGGCGTTTCACTATGTTGCCCAGGCTGGTCTCAAACAAATGGGCTCAAGCAATTTGCCTGCTTCAGCCTCCAAAAGTGTTGGGATTATACACATGAGCAACTGTGCTGGGTATGACGTGAGTGTTGTTTTCAACTTGCTTGTGATCTAGCAGTAAAGACTGACAGAAGGCCGCGCGCAGTGGCTCACACCTGTAATCCCAGCACTTTGGGAGGCCGAGGCAGGTGAATCATGAGGTCCAGAGTTCGAGACCAACCTGGCCAATATGGTGACAGAGTGAGACTCCATCTCAAAAAAAAAAAAAAGATTTTTTGATTAGCCAGGCATGGTGGCACACACCTGCAGTCCCAGCTACTTGGGAGGTTGAAGCAGGAGGATTGCTTGAACACGGGAGGCAGAGGTTGCAGTGAGCTGAGATTGAGCCACTGTACTCCAGCCTGGGCAACAGAGCGAGACCCTGTGTCAAAAAAAAATTTTTTTGGTTATATTTGCTAGAAAGGGTTGCTTTTTAATTTGTGACTTTTTACTTTTTATTATGGGAATTTTTAAACATATGCAAAAGTAGAGATGATAGCACAGTGAGTTCCCTGTACCCAGATTCCACAACCCTCAACTTTTTGCTATTCTTATTTCATCTATATCCTCACCTATAATTTTTTTTTTTTTTGAGATGGAGTTTTGCTCTTGTCTCCCAGGCTGGAGTGCAGTGGCGCGATCTCGGCCCACTGCAACCTCTGCCTCCTGGGTTCAAGCAATTATCCTGCCTCAGCCTCCTGAATAGCTGGGATAATAGGCGTCTGCCACCACGCCCGGCTAATTTTTTGTATTTTCAGTAGAGATGGGATTTCACCATGTTGGCCAAGCTAGTCTTGAACTCCTGACCTCAGGCGATCCGCCCACCTCGGCCTCCCAAAGTGCTGAGATTACAGGCATAAGCCACCGCACCCGCCTCATAAATTTTTTTTTCTGGAGACTTTTAAGGCAAATTCTGGACATCATGCCATTTCACCTGTACATGCATCGAGATGGATCTCAACAGATAAGAACTGTTTAAAAGCATAGCCACTATATCATTATCACATCTCACAAAATTAACAATAATTCCTTAATATCATCAAATACCCAGCCTGTTCAATTTGCCGGAAAGGGTTTTGGTAGACGTTGCAGAGGCTGCTCTGGAATGGGAATGCTGAGTGAGTGCCTTCCCCTCTGATTGAGACTGAGGGAGCTGATTATGCTTATGCTATAGGCAGACCAAACTGAGTTTGAGCCTGGAGATGGAACTCTCCGACAGAACTTGATTCCCGCAGTCCAGAGAAGCTACTTCCCACCTGTCAACTCTGGGAGGGGCAGGAGCTACTGGGAATGGGACGCCCAGGCTCCATACTGAGGCCCCCGATGCCTGAGCCTACTCTATCCCCGTCTACCCTCCCAGGCCCACCTTGTGAACTCCTCGTGCCCAGGGCTGATGTGCGTCTTCCAGGGCTACTCATCCAAAGGCCTAATCCAACGTTCTGTCTTCAATCTGCAAATCTATGGGGTCCTGGGGCTCTTCTGGACCCTTAACTGGGTACTGGCCCTGGGCCAATGCGTCCTCGCTGGAGCCTTTGCCTCCTTCTACTGGGCCTTCCACAAGCCCCAGGACATCCCTACCTTCCCCTTAATCTCTGCCTTCATCCGCACACTCCGGTAAGGATGGGGCAGGGGCCTGGTCATTGTAGGCACGGGGGCCCCAGGGGTCCTGGAGCTGTCTCTGACTGCATAACACCCTCTGCAGTTACCACACTGGGTCATTGGCATTTGGAGCCCTCATCCTGACCCTTGTGCAGATAGCCCGGGTCATCTTGGAGTATATTGACCACAAGCTCAGAGGTGAGTCTGGAGTCGGAGTAGGAGTCAGGAGCTGGGGAAGGCCATTAGGGAGGGGCAGTGACCAAACATGAGCCTTCCTCGCTCCCAGGAGTGCAGAACCCTGTAGCCCGCTGCATCATGTGCTGTTTCAAGTGCTGCCTCTGGTGTCTGGAAAAATTTATCAAGTTCCTAAACCGCAATGCATACATCATGGTGAGCTACACTGCAAGCAACCCTTTGTTCTGGTGCCCTTTGGTCTAGACACCCCCATCCTGGTCCAGGCAGCTCGCCTTGGTAACTCTGACCTTTCCACCTCCCTCAGATCGCCATCTACGGGAAGAATTTCTGTGTCTCAGCCAAAAATGCGTTCATGCTACTCATGCGAAACATTGTCAGGTTAGGCTGCTCCCCCCCCGCTTTGTGGCTCCCTCCTCTGATCTCCCACCCAAGGCTGGCTTCGTGGGTGTGCTGTGCTCAGTCGGGCCCTAGACTTAGTTTAGTGCTCTGCTCTTGCCATCTTGAAACGTGAACAATTTTCATTTTGCACCAGTCCCCACAAATTACGAAGCCAATTTCACTCTCAGCATTGCCAGGCCTCTCACCCTCAACCTGCCCTAACTTCTGGCACAGGGTGGTCGTCCTGGACAAAGTCACAGACCTGCTGCTGTTCTTTGGGAAGCTGCTGGTGGTCGGAGGCGTGGGTAAGGGACCAGAAGCTGTGGGGACAGAGGGTAGGGGTGCTGGGCAGCTGAAGAGGTGGCCTCAGAGGTGCAGCACTAACCCCCAGAATTATTCCACAGGGGTCCTGTCCTTCTTTTTTTTCTCCGGTCGCATCCCGGGGCTGGGTAAAGACTTTAAGAGCCCCCACCTCAACTATTACTGGCTGCCCATCATGGTGAGTGACTCCCCTCTCTGCTGCTCCACCCCCAACTCCCCAGAGGAACCCAATAACCCCAACGGGTCATGTCTTCCAGACCTCCATCCTGGGGGCCTATGTCATCGCCAGCGGCTTCTTCAGCGTTTTCGGCATGTGTGTGGACACGCTCTTCCTCTGCTTCCGTGAGTGACACCCCCAGCCACCTGTCCCCAACCTTAAAGTACTGAGCCGTTCAAGCATTTTTTTTTTTTTTTGGAGATTTGGTGCTTCTAGAAACAATGCCTTTGTGAGCTAAACGAACCAGAGGGAGCTTCTTGTGACATCCTGAGGCCAGGCGTTTAGGGAAGAAGGAAGAGAGTGAGCCCCCAGGCCGGTAGGCTCTCCAAAGAAGGAGCATTCTGATGGAGAGGTCTCTGCTATCTTCCCTAAGAAATCTCGGGTAGAAGTTAGCCATTAGAGGCCAGGCATGGTGGCTCACGCCTGTCATGCCAGCACTTTGGGGGACCGAGGTGGGCAGATCACCCTGAGGTCAGGAGTTCGAGACCAGCCTGGCCCACATGGTGAAACCCCTCTCTACTAAAAATACAAAAAATTAGCTGGGCGCGGTGGCGGGCGCCTGTAATCCCAGCCACTTGGGAGGCTGAAGCAGGAGAATCGCTTGAACTCAGGAGGCGGAGGTTGCAGCGAGCCGAGATTGCGCTACTGCACTTCAGCTTGGGCGACAGCAAGACTCCGTCTCAAAACAAAGAAAAAAGATTAAAAAAAAAAAAGAGCCATTAGAGAGACTTCCCAGCAGGTGGCTGTAGCGGCAGGGGATTTTCTTACTCTACAGCATGCATCCATTCAGGGTTTGCCAGTCTCCTCCTAAGCGACTGACATGCATTTTTTCCGCTAATTCTTATCATCGCTCTATGCAACATAATATTCCCGACCCCACTTCACAGGAGGAAACTGAGATTACATAACCTGCCCGGGGGTAAGGGTGGTGGTGCAGCTTGGATTCCAAATCCCGCAGGCAGCTTGCCTCCCAGTCCCCGATTTCCTGGCCCCAGGGTCCGCTCTAACCGGTCTCTGTTGCGGCTCAGTGGAAGACCTGGAGCGGAACAACGGCTCCCTGGACCGGCCCTACTACATGTCCAAGAGCCTTCTAAAGATTCTGGGCAAGAAGAACGAGGCGCCCCCGGACAACAAGAAGAGGAAGAAGTGACAGCTCCGGCCCTGATCCAGGACTGCACCCCACCCCCACCGTCCAGCCATCCAACCTCACTTCGCCTTACAGGTCTCCATTTTGTGGTAAAAAAAGGTTTTAGGCCAGGCGCCGTGGCTCACGCCTGTAATCCAACACTTTGAGAGGCTGAGGCGGGCGGATCACCTGAGTCAGGAGTTCGAGACCAGCCTGGCCAACATGGTGAAACCTCCGTCTCTATTAAAAATACAAAAATTAGCCGAGAGTGGTGGCATGCACCTGTCATCCCAGCTACTCGGGAGGCTGAGGCAGGAGAATCGCTTGAACCCGGGAGGCAGAGGTTGCAGTGAGCCGAGATCGCGCCACTGCACTCCAACCTGGGTGACAGACTCTGTCTCCAAAACAAAACAAACAAACAAAAAGATTTTATTAAAGATATTTTGTTAACTCAGTAAATCTGTGACTCATTCTCTCCACGACGACAGGCGGCCTTTTTTTTTCCGCGCCCGGCTCTTTAAAATCGGCCCCGCCCCTGTGACGTGTCCTGGTGCCGCGGCCAATCAAAAAGCCCAATAAGGATGGTGCCAGTCCCTTCTTCACCCCAGCCAGTCCGCTTCCCGTTCGGGTCACGCGCTCCGGGCCTCCAAGAGGGCCTCCAAGAGGGCCAATCGGAAGGGCAAGCTTCGAGATGCTGCGTGATCACGTGGGAGGAGATGAGCTACTTGAAGACCAATTAGAGTCCGGGAAGCGCGGCGGGGCCTCCAGACCGGGGCGGGCTTAAGGGTGACATCTGCGCTTTAAAGGGTCCGGGTCAGCTGACTCCCGACTCTGTGGAGTCTAGCTGCCAGGGTCGCGGCAGCTGCGGGGAGAGATGACTGGGGAGCGACCCAGCACGGCGCTCCCGGACAGACGCTGGGGGCCGCGGATTCTGGGCTTCTGGGGAGGCTGTAGGGTTTGGGTGTTTGCCGCGATCTTCCTGCTGCTGTCTCTGGCAGCCTCCTGGTCCAAGGCTGAGAACGACTTCGGTCTGGTGAGTCACCCTTTGCATAGCCCCATCCCCGACCCGCGCAGGTGATCGACACCTAGTGTCCCCCGGAACGCGGGCGGCTGAGCCGACTTTCCGCGACAGGACCCTTTTCTTTCTCCCAGACCCCGTTTCCTCCTACCGCTCCCAGCCCCTCTCCCTCTCCGGGTCCCCGTCCTTCTCCTCATTCGAGCCCCTTCCTCTTTTGGGGTCCCCTTCCCTCCCTGAAGGCGCCTTCTCCTTTCGTAGACCCTCCCCTGCTCCGAGCCTCCAGCTTCGCTCCAAACTCCCCTTCGTGTTCCTCTTTCTTGTTCTGGGACCCCATCCCCTACTCGGGATCCCCATTAGATCCTCCCTCTCCCATCGGAACGTGGGTTCCTAAAACCCCCAAGACAAGTTTGTCTTTGTTGACCCTTCCTCCTCCCATGACAGGTGCAGCCGCTGGTGACCATGGAGCAACTGCTGTGGGTGAGCGGGAGACAGATCGGCTCAGTGGACACCTTCCGCATCCCGCTCATCACAGCCACTCCGCGGGGCACTCTTCTCGCCTTTGCTGAGGCGAGGAAAATGTCCTCATCCGATGAGGGGGCCAAGTTCATCGCCCTGCGGAGGTCCATGGACCAGGGTATAAAGATGTCTGGGTGAAAGAGCCGGTGCTAGGTTGGATGGGTGGGCAGCCCAATGAGCCCAAGGGCCCTGAGGATAGGGGAACTTAGAGGGTTGGTTGCCTGAGTCCCTGAGGGGTAGAGGGAACCCGAGAAGGGCAAGTGTCTAGGACAGTGATCTGGAAATTGGGATCACCAAGGAGTTGGACATTCACTTAGCAAACATTTATTGGGTACTATATACCTATACCAGGCACTATTTTAGGTTTCATGAATATAGCCACGAACAAAACAGATCAAAAATCTCTGCCCTCAGGATTTAAATTGTACTGGAAGGAGACAGACAAGCATAATAAACAAGTAAACTTTTTTGTCTGTTGCAAGGTGATAAATGCAATGGAGAAAAATAAAACAGGACAAGAGGTATAGATAGTGCAAGTGTTGGATTGCACCCTGGGACCATCGGAAGGCCTGAGGTCCCTAGCAGAAGGTGGGAAATTAACGGGAAGTGGTAGAAAGGGTACCTGCAGAGTGCTCACTCTGGGTTTCTTCCTCCAATTTTTTTCAGGCAGCACATGGTCTCCTACAGCGTTCATTGTCAATGATGGGGATGTCCCCGATGGGCTGAACCTTGGGGCAGTAGTGAGCGATGTTGAGACAGGAGTAGTATTTCTTTTCTACTCCCTTTGTGCTCACAAGGCCGGCTGCCAGGTGGCCTCTACCATGTTGGTATGGAGCAAGGATGATGGTGTTTCCTGGAGCACACCCCGGAATCTCTCCCTGGATATTGGCACTGAAGTGTTTGCCCCTGGACCGGGCTCTGGTATTCAGGTCTCTGTCCTAGGAGATAGGTGGAGGGGGCTGCCTTGTGGAGAGTCTGAGGGATACCCCCAAATGGACTCCTTTCCAAGGGGAAGATTCTCTGAAGTCAGATTTTCTGGCTTGGGTGGGATTCCTTGAAAGACAGGGCATCCTGGTAGGAACACATTATCAGGAGAAGAGGGAACTCTGCCATTGGCTTCCCATTTGGCATTGTCAACAGGACTGCGTTAGTCCATGCAATACCCTCATGCAAAGTAGAAAAAGGCACTGCCTCTTTGGACAGACACAAGCCTGTGCCAGGGTGCACAGCTTGGCGAGTGAGCACAGGTTGGGTTTAAGCTCTCATGCACCCTGTGGCTGGGCCCCTGGTGCACATGTCCAGCTGTACACCCTGGGAGAGCTTCTTAATTCAAACAGGGTGTGTATTTATGGGATCTGACTGGAACCCTCAGTGAGCAAGGGCTGAACTCAAGGGGACCATACATGTGATTGCATTTGGGAAGTGGTGGGTTCTCTGTCCCTGCCTCTGAGCCCCTAGAGTCTCCTTCTGTGACACCCAGTTCCCTTTCCCACAGAAACAGCGGGAGCCACGGAAGGGCCGCCTCATCGTGTGTGGCCATGGGACGCTGGAGCGGGACGGAGTCTTCTGTCTCCTCAGCGATGATCATGGTGCCTCCTGGCGCTACGGAAGTGGGGTCAGCGGCATCCCCTACGGTCAGCCCAAGCAGGAAAATGATTTCAATCCTGATGAATGCCAGGTCAGGAGTCCATGAGATGTTCCCTACCCATTTGACCCTCCCTGCCCTCCAGAACATCATTTCACGCACAGACCCAGGGTCTGACTGCTCCACTCAGTGCCACACACCCTTGCTCCCCTCGGGGACAGGGCATTTTCCCTGTTCCCTCCCTGAGGTCCTGTCCTCTCCCCTCAGCCCTATGAGCTCCCAGATGGCTCAGTCGTCATCAATGCCCGAAACCAGAACAACTACCACTGCCACTGCCGAATTGTCCTCCGCAGCTATGATGCCTGTGATACACTAAGGCCCCGTGATGTGACCTTCGACCCTGAGCTCGTGGACCCTGTGGTAGCTGCAGGAGCTGTAGTCACCAGCTCCGGCATTGTCTTCTTCTCCAACCCAGCACATCCAGAGTTCCGTGAGTGCCTCATGGGTGGGGTCAGCAGGGAGAGCCCTGTGTCTAGACAAGGCCTGGGCAGAGACCCTCTCTCCCTGACTCTCCTGCTCTCCCCAGGAGTGAACCTGACCCTGCGATGGAGCTTCAGCAATGGTACCTCATGGCGGAAAGAGACAGTCCAGCTATGGCCAGGCCCCAGTGGCTATTCATCCCTGGCAACCCTGGAGGGCAGCATGGATGGAGAGGAGCAGGCCCCCCAGCTCTACGTCCTGTATGAGAAAGGCCGGAACCACTACACAGAGAGCATCTCCGTGGCCAAAATCAGTGTCTATGGGACACTCTGAGCTGTGCCACTGCCACAGGGGTATTCTGCCTTCAGGACTCTGCCTTCAGGAACACGGGTCTGTAGAGGGTCTGCTGGAGACGCCTGAAAGACAGTTCCATCTTCCTTTAGACTCCAGCCTTGGCAAAATCACCTTCCCTTTACCAGGGAAATCACTTCCTTTAGGACTGAAAGCTAGGCGTCCTCTCCCACAAAAAAGTCCTGCCCTCATCTGAGAATACTGTCTTTCCATATGGCTAAGTGTGGCCCCACCACCCTCTCTGCCCTCCCGGGACATTGATTGGTCCTGTCTTGGGCAGGTCTAGTGAGCTGTAGAATTGAATCAATGTGAACTCAGGGAACTGGGGAAGGCTGAGCCTCCTCTTTGGTGTTGCGGTAAGATAACCGACAGGGCTGGTGAAAGTCCCCAGATGGCAGGATATTTGGTTTCAGAGTAAGGACTAGGTGCACCACCATGACTGACTATCAATCAAAATGTTTGTAACTTAAAATTTTTAATGAAGGATAATGAATATTTGTAGAGTCTCTATGGTTCTGTCAATGCACATCTTCGTGTCTGTTTTCCTCATGTATCCTTGTGAGCCTGGGTGAGTTCTGGGGAGAGACCTGATGTGCGTACTGCCTGTGAAAATCTGACTTTGGCAAATCAAATCCTCTTTTCCTTTTGACATGCCCTCTTTTTTTGTTGTTGCTTTTTTTGAGACAGGGCTCGCTCTGTCACCCAGGCTGGAGTGCAGTTGCACAATCACGGCTCACTGAAGCCTCAACCTCCTGGGCTCAAGTGATCCTCACGTCTCAGCCTCCGGAGTAGTTGGGACTACAGGTCAGTGACACCATGCCTGGTTAATTTTTTTAATTTTTATTTTCAGTAGAGACAAGGTTGCGCTATGTTGCCCAGGCTGGTATGGAACTCCTGTGCTTAAGCAATCCTCATGCCTCAGCTTCCCAAAGTGCTGAGGTTACAGCTATGAGCCACCGCACCCAGCCTACATTCCTTCTTATCACCGAGAAACAGGTTGATCTTCACAGGTGTAATGAGTATGAAGGGAGTGCCATAAGATATTTTTTATTTTTTATTTATTCATTTTTTAATTTAATTTTTTTTTTTTTGAGATGGAGTCTTGCTCTGGCACCCAGGCTAGAGTGCAGTGGTGCGATCTCGGCTCACTGCAACCTCTGCCTCCCAGGTTCAAGCGATTCTTCTGCCTCAGCTTCCCGAATAGCTGGGATTACAGGTGCCCACCACCACACCCGGCTAATTTTTGTATTTTTAGTAGAGACGGAGTTTCACCATGTTGGCCAGGCTGGTCTCAAACTCCTGGCCTCAGGTGATCCACCCGCCTTGGCCTCCCAAAGTGTTGTGATTACAAGCATGAGCCATGGTGCCGGCGGGCTGATTTTTTTAATTTTTAGTAGAGACAAAGTCTCACTATATTGCCTAGGTTGGTCTCAAACTGCTGAGCTCAAGCAATCTGCCGGCCATGTTCTCTCAAAGTGCTGGGATTACAGGCTTGAGCCCCTGCACCCAGCCTGTAAGATATTTTAAAATCCACACTTGGCCAAGCGTGGTGGCTCACACATATAATCCCAGCACTTTGGGAGGCCAAGGTGGGCGGATCACAAGGTCAGGAGTTCGAGACCAGCCTGGCCAATATGGTGAAATCCCATCTCTACTAAAAATACAAAAACTAGCCAGGCGTGTTGGCTTACACTTATAGTCCCAGCTACTCAGGTGGCTGAGGCAGGAGAATCACTTGAACCAGGAGGCGGAGTTTGCAGTGAGCTGAGATCACAGCACTGCACACCAGCCTCGGCAACAGAGTGAGACTCCGTCTGAAAAAAAAAAAATCCACGCTGTTTTATATTTCTAACATGGGGTAGGATACCATCCTCCATGAAATAGGGTGCAAGTGTGTGAAATGCAGATGGGAATCCTGTCCCAGCTAGCCTGACAGAGAAGTGAGCACTTCCTATGGCAAATTATGTAAGAAAATATTCCCCAGGCAGATGCTTATGAAAAGAATCTGTTCAGCCTGCAGGTAAGTGGGAGAGCCCTTGCTCAAAAAAAAAAAGAAAAAGAAATAGTGGAAGACAAAAAGGAAAGGACACTATGAATGTCTGACCCATGAACTACTACCTGTTAGAAACAGAAGTGCTGGGAGGCTTGAGAGACAGACACTACCTTCCTGGCTAGGTGTGGTGGCTCAGATCTGTAATGCTAGCACTTCGGGAGACCAAGGCAGGATGATCAAATTAAAGGGCATCCTGGGCAACATGGCAATACCCCATGTCTAAAAAATTTAAAAATTAGCCAAGCATGGTAACGCACACCTATAGTCCTAGCTACATGGGAGGATGGCTTGATCTCTTTGACCCCAGGAGTTCGAGGCAGTAGTGAGCTATGATTGCACCACTGCACACCAACCTAGGTGACAGAGTGAGACCTCATCTCCAAAAAACCAAACCAAAACAAAAAACCTTCAAGAAAGAAAAAAAGCTTGACCTTCCCTCCCTCACTCTTTACAGACCCATGGAATCTGAAGCTCTGGTGTTGGAGCCACCAGGCATTAACAAGCCTTCTGGGTGATTCGTAATACGTTTAAGTTTGAAAACCAGGGTCAGAACTTTTAAACAAGTGCAAGTGTCCAGCTAAAATGAATTATATGTACGTCAAAGTTGCAGAAATAGTTAAAGAACCTTTTTTTTCCAGCTTTTTTTTTTTCTTTTAATACACAGGGAAGGGTCAGGTGCAGTGGCTCACGCCTGTAATCCCAGCACTTTGGGAGGCCGAGGTGGGCGGATCACAAGGTCAGGGGTTCTAGACCAGCCTGGCCAACATGGTAAAACCCCATCTCTACTAAAAATACAAATATTAGCCATATGTGGTGGCACACGCCTGTAGTCCCAGCTACTCGGGAGCCTGAGGCAGGAGACTCACTTGAACCTGGGAGGCAGAGGTTGCAGTGAGCCGAGATTATGCCACTGCCCTCCAGCCTGGGCGACAGAGCAAGACTTCATCTTAAAAAAAAAAAAAATACACAGGAAAGATTGGGACAAGTGGCAGGAGACTGAAAGGGGAAAGAGCTTGTTTGTACTAATGGGACAAAGTGGGCCGACTCTGGGCACACTGCTTATGAGTTAGCTCTACTCTGTGAGGAAATTTTTTTTTTTTTTTTGAGACGGAGTCTTGCTCTGTTGCCCAGGCTGGAGTGCAGTGGCGCAATCTTGGCTCCCCGCAACCTCTGCCTCGCTGGTTCAAGCAATTCCCCTGCCTCAGCCTCCTAAGTAGCTGGGATTACAGGCGCCTGCCACCACGCTCGGCTAATTTTTTGGTATTTTTAGTAGAGACCCGGTTTCACCATGTTGGCCAGACTGGTCTCGAACTCCTGACCTCAGGCAATACGCCCGCCTCGGCCTCCCAAAGTGCCGGGATTACAGGTGTGAGCCACCCCACCCGGCCAAGGAAATATTTAAAAAATAAAATAAAATAAGTTATTTAAAAATTGGGGCAAGTTGGCTGGGCACGGTGGCTCACGCCTGTAATCCTAGCACTTTGGGAGGCTGAGGAAGGGGGATCACTTGAGGTCAGGAGTTCAAGACCAGTCTGGCCAACATGGTGAAACACTGTCTCTACTAAAAATTCAAAAAATTAGCCAGGCATTGTGGCAGGCACCTACAATCCCAGCTACTCAGGAGACTAAGGCAGGAGAATCGCTTGAACCTGGGAGACGGAGATTGCAGTGAGTTGAAATCATGCCACTGCACTCCAGCCTGGGCTATGGAGCGAGACTCTCCCTCAAAAAAAAAAAAATCGGGGTAAGTGTTATCAATCTAAAAAATAATAATTAAAAAGTTCAGAATCTAGGCCAGGCGCTGTGGCTCACACCTATAATCCCAGCACTTTGGGAGGCAGAGGCAAGCGAATCACCTGAAGTCAGGAGTTCAAGACCATCCTGGTCAACATGACGAAACCCCGTCTCTACCAAAAATACAAAAATTAGCTGGGTGTTGTGGGTCGCGCCTGTAGTCCCAGCTATTCAGGAGACTGAGGAAGGAGAATCGCTTGAACCCGGGAGCGAGAGGTTACAGTGGGCCAAGATCATACCATTGCATTCCAGTCTGGGAGACACAGCGAGACTGTCTTAAACAAACGAACAAAAGCTGAGAATCTAGTGTTGTTGCTTTTTACAGATGGAGTCTTGCCATGTTGCCCAGGTTAGATTCAGACTGAAGTTCAAGGGATCCTCCTGCCTCAGCCTCCTAGAGTAGATAGAGTTGGGACTGCAGGCACATACCACTGTACCAGGCTTAGAATCTAGTTTAAAGAGTTTATCCACCGGCTCTCCCTCCCTCTCCCTCTGTCTCCCTCTCCCCACGGTCTCCCTCTCATGCGGAGCCGAAGCTGGACTGTACTGCTGCCATCTCGGCTCACTGCAACCTCCCTGCCTGATTCTCCTGCCTCAGCCTGCCCAGTGCCTGCCATTGCAGGCACGCGCCGCCATGCCTGACTGGTTTTGGTGGAGACGGGGTTTCGCTGTGTTGGCCGGGCAGGTCTCCAGCCCCTAACCGCGAGTGATCCCGCCAACCTCAGCCTCCCGAGGTGCCGGGATTGCAGACGGAGTCTCGTTCACTCAGTGCTCAATGGTGCCCAGGCTGGAGTGCAGTGGCGTGATCTCGGCTCACTACAACCTACACCTCCCAGCCGCCTGCCTTGGCCTCCCAAAGTGCCGAGATTGCAGCCTCTGCCCGGCCGCCACCCCGTCTGGGAAGTGAGGAGCGTCTCTGCCTGGCCGCCCATCGTCTGGGATGTGAGGAGCCCCTCTGCCTGGCTGCCCAGTCTGGAAAGTGAGGAGCGTCTCCGCCCGGCCGCCATCCCATCTAGGAAGTGAGGAGCGCCTCTTCCCAGCCGCCATCACATCTAGGAAGTGAGGAGCGTCTCTGCCCGGCCGCCCATCGTCTGAGATGTGGGGAGCGCCTCTGCCCCGCCGCCCCATCTGGGATGTGAGGAGTGCCTCTGCCCGGCCGAGACCCCGTCTGGGAGGTGAGGAGCGTCTCTGCCCGGCCGCCCCGTCTGAGAAGTGAGGAGACCCTCTGCCTGGCAACCACCCCGTCTGAGAAGTGAGGAGCCCCTCCGCCCGGCAACTGCCCCGTCTGAGAAGTGAGGAGCCTCTCCGCCCCGCAGCCACCCCATCTGGGAAGTGAGGAGCATCTCCGCCCGGCAGCCACCCCGTCCGGGAGGGAGGTGGGGGGGGTCAACCCCCCGCCCGGCCAGCCGCCCCATCTGGGAGGGAGGTGGGGGGTCAGCCCCCCCAACCGGCCAGCCGTGCCATCCGGGAGGGAGGTGGGGGGGTCAGCCCCCCACCTGGCCAGCCGTGCCGTCCGGGAGGGAGGTGGGGGGGTCAGCCCCCCGCCCGGCCAGCCGCCCCGTCCGGGAGGTGAGGGGTGCCTCTGCCCGGCCACCCCTACTGGGAAGTGAGGAGCCCCTCAGCCCGGCCAGCCACCCCGTCCGGGAGGGAGATGGGGGGGTCAGCCCCCCCACCCGGCCAGCCGCCCGGTCTGGGAGGGAGGTGGGGGGGGTCAGCCCCCCGCCTGGCCAGCCGCCCTGTCCGGGAGGGAGGTGGGGGGGTCAGCCCTCCGCCCGGCCAGCCGCCCCGTCTGGGAGGTGAGGGGCGCCTCTGCCCGGCCGCCCCTACTGGGAAGTGAGGAGCCCCTCTGCCCGGCCAGCCGCCCCGTCCGGGAGGGAGGTGGGGGTGTCAGCCCCCCGCCCGGCC
>NT_167244.2:3087566-3173057 GCF_000001405.40 Homo sapiens | reverse complement strand
GGCCAACATGGTGAAACCTTGTCTCTACTAAAAGTACAAAAAATAGCTAGGGGAGGTGCCAGGCGCCTGTAATCCCAGCTACTCAGGAGGCTGTGAGGCAGGAGAATCACTTGAACTCAAGATGCAGAGGTTGCAGTGAGGCGAGATTTTGCCATTGCACTCCAGCATGGGCAACAAGGGCGAAACTCCACCTCCTCCCCTGCCAGAAAAACCATCTCAAATGATTGTCAAAAGTCTAGTGTATTATACATAATACTATGTCACCCAACCAAGAATCTCTAATATTAGGCTTAAGAGTTAAGCCTAACTCAGCATTAACTAGCTCACGGGGCTTCATCTTTCTTTTTTTTTAAGACGGAGCCTGTCGCCAGGCTGGAAGTGCAGTGGCACGATCTCGGCTCACTGCAACCTTGGACTCCCTGGTTCAAAGCCATTCTCCTGCCTCAGCCTCCCGAGTAGTTGGGATTACAGGTATGTATCACCACACCCAGCTAATTTTTGTCCTTTTTTTGTTTTAGTAGAGACAGGGTTTCACCATGTTGGCCAGGATAATCTCAATCTCCTGACCTTGTGATCCACCCACCTCGGCCTCCCAAAGTGCTGGGATTATAGGCATGAGCAACTTGCGCCCAGCCCCCTTAATCTTTTTGTACCATTGTTCTGAGACCAAACCACGTCTTCTTTACTTTAAAATGCTTTATTGGAATTATTTTGATAAAAGCAAATACTTGTATATAAGACAAATATAGGAAATAGAAGCTATCTACTTGAAGTGCCCCCTAATTTTCAGGCATTTTTCCCCCAATAAGGTGACAGCTGCTCACACAGGATAATACAGGAAAGTTGTAAGTTCTTAGGATATGCCCAGCACCAGGCGGAAGATATTGTGTCAGCAAATTCCTGAAAAATAATAAAAAGAACATTAGAACCATATGAGATGCACCAATAAAAAAACGATTTCATATCCTTTGCAGCAACATGGATGCAACCACAGGCCATGATCCTCAGTGAATCAATACAGAACAGAAAACCAGATACCATATGTTCTTACTTGTAAGTGGGAGCTAAATGTTGAGTATACATGGACATAAAGATGGCAACAGACACTGGGGAGAGGAAATGGGGCAAAGGTTTAATAACTATTGGGTACTATGCCCACTACCTGGGTGATGGGGATAATCCTACCCCAAACCTCAGCATCATACAATGAACCCAAGTAACAAAACTGCACATATACCCCCTAAATCTACAATAAAAGCTGAGGCTGGGCATGGCAGCTCACGCCTGTCAATTCCAACACTTTGGGAGGCCAAGGCAGAAGTGTTCGGAGGCCAAGGCAAGACAATCACTTGAGCCCAGGAGTTTCAGACCAGCTTGAGCACCATAGTGGGACCCCATTATCTACAGCTTTTTTTTTTTGAGATGGAGTCTTGCTCTGTTGCCCAGGGTGAAGTGCAATGGCGCAGTGCAATGGCGCCATATCAGCTCACTGCAACCTCCACCTCCCAGGTTCAAGCGATTCTTCTGCCTCAGCCTCCCAAGTAGCTGGAATTACAGGCGCCCGCCACCCATGCCCAGCTAATTTTTGTATTTTTAGTAGACAGGGTTTCACGGTGTTGGCCAGGCTGGTCTTCAACTCCTGACCTCAGGTGATCCACCCACCTTGGCCTCCCAAAGAGCTGAGATTACAGGCATGAGCCACCACACCCATCCTCAAATTTAAAAAAAAAAAAATTAGCCGGGGATAGTGGTGCATGCCTGTAAGTCATTAGCTACTCCAAGGGTGAGGTGAGAGGTGAGCTTCCACCCAGGAGGTTGAGGCTGCAGTGAGCTGTGACTGCACCACTGCACTCCAGCCTGGGTGACAGAGCAAGACTGTCTCAAAAAATAGAATAAAATTGTCAGATGCTATGGCTCACACCTGTAATCCCAGCACTTTGGGAGGCTAGGGCGGGCAAATCACCTGAGATCAGGAGTTCAAGACCAACATGGTGAAAACTCCCATCTCTACTAAAAATACAAAATTAGCTGGGCATGGTGGCGCATGCCTGTAATCCCAAGTACTCGGGAGGCTGAGGTTACAATGAGCTGAGAATGTGCCACTGCACTCCAGCCTGGGCGACAAAGTGAAACTCCATCTCAAACAAAAAATAAATAAAAATACATGTTGCGGGCTGGGCTCGGTGGCTAATACCTGTAATCTGAGCACTTTGGGAGGTCAAGGTGGGCAGATCTCTTGGTCAGGAGTTCAAGACCAGCCCGGCCAACATGGTGAAACCCTCTACTAAAAATACAAAAATTAGCCGGGACTGGTGGCGCATGCCTGTAATCCCAGCTACTTGGGAGGCTGAGGCAGAATTGCTTGAACCTGGGAGGCAGAGGCTGCAGTAAGCCAAGAGTGTACCACTGCACTCCAGCCTGGATGACAGAGCAAGACAGTCTCAAAAAACACACAAAACATGTTGGGGTGGGGCACAGTGGCTCACTGAGGCAGGAGTTGAAGACCAGCCTGTGCACAAAGTGAGACCCTGTAATACAGTTTAGATCTGTCTCCCCACCAAATCTCATATTGAATTGTAATGGATCACTGGGGTGGATTCCTCATGAATGGCTTAAGCACCATCCTCCTTGATGCTGTGCTCATGACAGTCAGTTCTCTAGAGATCAATTTATTAAAAATGTGTGGCACCTCCCTGCCTTTGCTGCTGCTCTGGCCATGCTACATCCCTGCTTCCCTCTGTACCTTATGCAATATAGTTTCCTGAGGCCCCCACCAGAGGCTGAGCAGATGCCAACACCATGCTTCCTGTACATCCTGCAGAACCATAGCCAATTAAACCTCATCATGTAAGTAACTGGCCATAAAAACATGAATTACAGGAGATTGCCGGCAGGATGAAGGTGGATCAGGTGGGTTCAAAGATCCTCAGAGAAAAGCTCAGAGACTCTTGTCCAACCAGATCATCATTACCACTCCCACTGAGAGCCAAAACAAAAGATACTCACCATAGCAAGGAAGGAGAACAGGCATGGCTCTCCACCTCTCCCAGCCTGAAGGTCAAGTTGCAGGAATCACTGTCTAAGCATGACAGCCATACAAAGCTTCTCTCCATGAGGGGGAGATTCCAAACCTTAGACCTTCACTCAGATTAGTGCAGAATCTCTGTGAAGGTGCATTGTCCCTGGCTGGGCTTCCAGAGTTCATTCTAACAAGGTGAAAACAAGACAATTTGAAAATAAACAGAATTATGGCCCTCCCATTGGCCCTTCTGGAGACCCAAGTATCCAGTTCCCTAAATGAGTCAGAACTTAGTTTTGACATCATGACCAGCATCGGAGACTCTAGTCTGTGAAATCATCATTCCCAATTAGGGAGATCTGGATCAAGGGAAGCTCTTCTGGAAAGAGATCTAGTACACTCAAAGAAAACACAACAGTCCCAGTATATATTGATCTAACAAATGAGTCCAGGAGTGGACGTTAGAAAGGGAGGAGTAGAAAGTAATTTAAAACAGCAGAGAACAGCTCCACTGGGAGGCCCCAGTGTACTCCTATTTTGCAGTAGAAATGAGGGGAGGAGTCAGGTTACCCAGCCTTTAACAAAAATACGGGGATTTATTAAAACGTAAAAATACAGGCCGGGCAAAGTGGCTCACGCCTGTAATCCCGGCACTTTGGGAGGCCGAAGGGCGTGGATCAACTGAGGTCAGGAGTTTGAGACCAGCCTGACCAACATGAGTGAGACTCATGTCCCCCCGCCCCCTAAAAAAGTAAAAATAGAATAGTCACAAGGAAAATGATGTAAACTAAAAAGAGTAAGACTGTCCCCCCGCCCCCCAAAAAAGTAAAAATAGTCACAAGGAAAATGATGTAAACCAAAAAGTAATCTCTAGAAAGTCACCAACACCAGACGCAGCAACTCACCCCTGTAATTCCAGCACTTTGGGAGACTGAGGCAGGAGGACTGCTTGAGCCCAGGAGTAGAGACCAGCCTGGACAACATGGCAAAAGCCCGCTTCTGTAAAAAAACTAAAAATTAGCCAGGCGTGGTGGTAGCACGTGCCTGCAGTCCCAGGAAGCTGAGGTGGAAAGACCACTTGAGCCCTGACGGTGGATGTTGCAGGGAGATCCTGGCATTGCGCCCTGTCTCAAAAACAAAATAGCAAAAACAAACAAATGGAAGTCACCACCTGTGGTACATGGATTATAGCTCAAAAAAGAAAAAGTGGCCGGGCACAGCGGCTCACGAGGTCAGGAGATGGAGACCATCCTGGCCAACATGGTGAAACCCCTTCTACTAAAAACAGAAAAATTAGCCGAGTGTGGTGGCGCGGGCCTGTAGTCCCAGCTAATCGGCAGGCTGAGGCAGGACAATCGATTGAACCCGGGAGGCAGAGGTTGCAGGGAGATCGTACCATTGCCAGCCCGGGCAACAAGATCAAGACTCCATCTCAAAAAAAAAAAAAAAAAAGGAAAAAATTGGCTAAGGTGGGAGAATCGGTTAAACCCGGGAGTTGAAGGCCGCACTGAATTGTGTTCTTGCCACTGCATTCCAGCCAGGGTGACAGGGAGGCTGTCTTAAAAAAAAAAAAAAAAAAAAGGCCGGGCGCGGTGGCTCACGCCTGTAATCCCAGCACTTTGGGAGGCCGAGAGGGGCGGATCACGAGGTCAGCAGATCGAGACCATCCTGGCTAACACAGTGAAACCCCTTATCTATTAAAAAATACAAAAAATTAGCCAGGCTTGGTGGCATGCGCCTGTAATCCCAGCTAATCGGGAGGCTGAGGCAGGAGAATCGCTTGATCCCAGAAGGCGCAGGTTGCAGTGAGATCGTGCCACCGCACTTCAGCCTGGGTGACAAGGCGAGACTGTCTCAAAAAAAAAAAAAAAAAAAAAAGGGCAGGGAGGCGCATAATGCCCATGAACGAAAGCTTGCTTGGGAACAAAGCTTTCCGAAGAGGCATTCAAAAGGCTCTCGCACCTAATACTCACCTTTACTCAAGGATAACACGGCGATGAACGTCTTACAACTCCTAACGGGGAAATGAAACAGAACAAAAGATTAGGAATCTTGGCCATGAACTCGTTGAGCCTGAGAAATGCTGGACCGAGGGGGCGGTCAGAGCGCTGCGGTGATGGCATCAGCGACACACTCAGAGTTACCTGGGGTCATCATCACTCCCTTCCTATCCCCGGGCGACCGCCACCCCCATTTTGCAATCACTCGCCCAACCCCACTCACAGTTGTTTTGAGTCAGCAGGGGCTGTGGGGCCGCTAGCCGAGTTCCCCCTGCCACGAGCTAGGTCAGTTCCAAGCAAAGACACCAGAAACTCCAGTGTGCAACGGTAGTTCACCCAACTGCACTGGGGACCGCCCTCTCCTACCCCAGCCAGGCCGCGACGTGGCCGCCCGCCGGCTGCTGCGCAAAGGCAGCGCAAGCCGTTGGGATCCCCTGCTCCCCCTCACTCAACAGTCGGGCCATTACAACTCTCATACTGCCAACCCACGAGCCCACTTCGCAAAAAGAACTAAAATGGCGAGGCCGGGGCCATTTATGGCGGCGCCGGGTTGGGGGCCTGACGGGTATAGTTGTTTTCTTATCTGCCTGGCTAGACGCGCGGCATTTTCCCCATTGTTTGTCCACACAGAAATAAAACAAAGTGAAAGAAAGACCAGGAAAGTATGTTTCACACTCCTCTGGGCAAATATTCGGAGATGCTTTCTGAATTTTGAAAAACAAAAAACAGGGATCTGTCTGGCCAGGCGGAAGAAAGTCCCCGGCGCCGGCCGGCCAGCGCCAGCCGGGTGCTGCTCCTAAGCCGTTTCCCAGCAGCCCATGGTCCGTTAATGACCCTGGGACTCTTCCCGCGCGCGCGCGGGCGCGCGCAGCTGCGCCAGTTTAGCGTCCAGCTACCCTGACACTTCGCACTCCGTTCCCCCAGCGAAATCTGAATTTGCCTCCCAGTTCGATCCCGCAGACTGTCAGGCACCCTAACCTTCAATTAAACAAAACAAAACAAAAACCAAAAACCCAAAAGGCAGGTCGGACGTAATAGGTCACGCCTGTAATCTCAACACTTTGGACAGGCCCAGGCAGAGGATCATTTGAGGCCCGGAGTTCGGGACCAGCCTGGGCAAATAGTGACACCCAACCCCCGTCTCTATTTATTTAAAAATTAGGCCGGGCGCGGTGGCTCACGCCTGTAATCCCAGCACTTTGAGAGGCCGAGGCAGGTGGATCACGAGGTCAGGAGATCGAGACCATCCTGGCTAACACGGTGAAACCCCGTCTCTACTAAAAAAAAATTAGCAGAGTGTGGTGGCGGCGCCTGTAGTCCCAGCTACTCGGGAGGCTGAGGCAGGAAAATGGCGTGAACCCAGGACGCCGAGCTTGCAGTGAGCCGAGATTGCGCCACTGCACTCCAGCCTGGGCGACAGGGCGAGACTCTGTCTCAAAAAAAAAAAAATTATTGAAACTCATAAGTCATTTCAAATCCTTTCTGGACCCTTTCCTATCGCCCCCATTTATAAACGCGTATGATGTTTGGTGATGTGTGTTGTGTGTGTTGGTATCTTTTTCTTTTTTGAGACGGAGTCTGACTCTGTTGCCCAGGCTGGAGAGCAGTGGCGGGATCTCGGCTCACTGCAACCTCCGCTTCCTCGGTTCAAGCGATTTTCCTGCCTCAGCCTCCGAAGTAGCAAGGATTACAGGTGCACACAACCATGCCTGGCTAATTTTTATATTTTTAGTAGAGTCAGGGTTTCACCATGTAAGCCAGGCTGGTCTCGAACTCCTGACTTCAGGTGATTTGCCTGCCTAGGCCTCCACAAAGTGCCAGGATTATAGGTGTGAGCCACCGAGCCTGGCCTCTTCCTTTTTTTTTTTTTTCTTTTTCTTTTTTTTTTTTTTGAGATAGGGTCTTGCTCTGTTACCCAGATTGGAGTGCAGTGGCACGGCTTACTACAACCTCTGCCTCCCAGGTTCAAGTGATTCTCTTGCCTCAGCCTCCTGAGTAGCTGAGATTACAGGCATCTGCCACCACACCCAGTTAATTTTATATATTTTTAGTAGAGACAGGGGTTTTCACCATGTTGGCCCAGGCTGGTTTTGAACTGGTGAACCTCAGTGATCCTCCCACCTCGGCCTCCCAAAGTGCTGGGATTACAGGCGTGAGCCACCGTGGCCAGCCCAGTTCAGTGGTTTTCTCCACATTGGCTGCAAATTACAAACACCTGGGCAGCTTTAAATGTCTACACTGCCCTCTTTGAGATTCTGAATTGGCCTGAGAGAGGCCTGGCATCTGTATTTTTTTAGCATCCCTTAATCGTTTTATTGTTCCATTACGGTGGAGAGCCATGGCTCAAAGCTAAAGTATTTGTTCCCTCTACTGCCTGGCAAGTATATAAAAAAAAGATTAGCTATGGGTGGTGGCATACACGTGTAGTCCCAGCTAATCAGGAGGCTAAGGATCAATTGAGCCCAGGAGGTCGAGGCTGCCATGAACCGTGATCATACCACTGCACTCTAGCCTGGGCAACAGAGTGAGACCCTGCCTTAAAAAAAATATATATATATACAGAAAGCCCTAATTCCTGCTGTTTTGGCAGTTAAGCTGCCTTTACTAAGTGCTATGGTCAGAGGCTTTAGTTCCTCTTTTTTTTTTTTTTTTTTTTTTTTGAGACAGAGTTTCGCTCTTGTTGCCCAGGCTGGAGTGCAATGGCGCGATCTCGGCTCACAGCAACCTCCGCCTCCCAGGTTCAAGCCATTCTCCTGCCTCAGCCTCCAGGGTAGCTGGGATTACAGGCATGCGCCACCACACCCGGCTAATTTTGTATTTTTAGTAGAGATGGGGTTTCTCCATGTTGGTCAGGCTGGTCTCGAACTCCAGACCTCAGGTGATCCGCCCGCCTCGGCCTCCCAAAGTGCTGGGATTATAGGTGTGAGCCACCGCGCCTGGCCTAGTTCATCTCTTTCATTAATAAAACAGGCCTTTAAGAATTGGCCCAAGGGCCGGGCATAGTGGCTCACGCCTATAATCCCAGCACTTTGGGAGGCCAAGGCAGGCAGATCACCTGAGGTCAGGAGTTCGAGACCAGCCTGCCCAACATGGCGGAAACCTCGTCTGTACTAAAAATACAAAAAATTAGCTGAGCATAGTGGCCGGTGCCTGTAATCCCAGCTACTTGGGAGGCTGAGGCAGGAGAATCGTTTGAACCTGGGAGGTAGAGGTTGCAGTGAGCCGAGATTGCTCCACTGTACTCCAGCCTGGGCAACAAAAGTGAAACTCTGTCTCAAAAAAAAAAAAAAAAAAAAAAAACTTGGCCCCAAAACCAAAGAAACTTACTATATTCCTTTTCTTTTATACACTTTCAAGGAGGATTTCCAGTATTATGTAATCCTTAAAACGTTTTAAGGATTTAAAACATTTTAAAACCCTAGAGGGTAAGGATTTACACAAAGGTGCAACACAGGACTTTAACCGTTTTATTTATGTTTTTTTGAGATGAAGTATTGCTCTGTCACCCAGGGTGGAGTACAGTGGCGCAATCTCAACTCACTACAACCTCCGCCTCCAGGGTTCAAGTGATTCTCCTTCCTCAGCCTTCCATGTAGCTGGGATTATAGACATGCCCCACCGTGCCCACCTAGTAGAGACAGGGTTTCACCATGTTGACCAGGCTGGTCTGGAACTCCTGACCTTAGGTGATCCAACCGTCCCACCTCGGTCTCCCAAAGTGCTGGGATTACAGGCGTGAGCCCCCACGCCCGGCCAGCTAATTCTATTGTTTTTTGTAGAGATGGGTTTTCGCTATGTTGGCCAGGCTGGTTTTGAACTCCGGACCTCAAGTGATCCGCCCACCTCACCCTCCCTAAATTCTGGGATTATAGGCATGAGCCATCGCACCTGGCCCATTTTATTTGATTTTTAAATTCTTTTTGTAAATTGACAAACTTTAGTTGCATATATTGGTACAAAGTAGTTATTAACACAATATGGAGTAATTAAATCAAGCTAATTAACATATCACCTCAAATATTTTTGTGACAAGAACATTTGAAATTTTGAAATATACAATACACTATTAACTATTTTCACCATGCCATGCAATATATACCCTCCACCCACCACCCCCCCAAAAAAAAACACAAAAACTGGCAGGGCACAGTGGCTCACGCCTATAATCCCAGCACTTTGGGAGGACTAGACAAGGGGATCGCTTGAGCTGAAGAGTTCGAGACCAACCTGGGCAACACAGCAAGACTTCGTCTCTACAAAATACAAAAAATTAGCTGAGCATGATGGCACATACCTGTAGACCCAGTACTCAGGAGGCTAAGGTGGGAGGATTGCTTGAACCCAGGAGTTTGAGACTACAGTGAGCTCTACTGTGCTCCAGCCTGGGTGACAGAGCAATATCCCGTTTCAAAAAAAAAAAAATACAATTTATTTCTCCTGACTAAGGCTTTGTTTCCCTTGCACGTCTCCCCATTCCCCCATCCCACAGCCCTTGGTGACCACCACTTCTCTGCTTCTGAGTTCTACTGTTTAGATTCCACATATAAATGAATATGAGCCGAGGTCAGGAGATTGAGACCATCCTGGCTAACACGGTAAAACCCTGTCTCTACCAAAAATACAAAAAATTAGCCAGGCGTGGTGGCAGGCGCCTGTAGTCCCAGTTACTCAGGAGGCTGAGGCAGGAGAATCGCTTGAACCCGGGAGGCGGAAGTTACCGTGAGCTGAGATTGCGCCACTGCACTCCAGCCTGGGCGACAAGAGTGAGAGTGAGACTCCGTCTCAAAAAAAAAAAAAAAAAAAAGTCAGCATTTTTTTGTGGACTCCGCTCACTAAGTAGAAGAGGGAGAGAAAACCACCATAATCCCATCTCAGCACCACCCCTCCCCTCCCCGCCCCAGTGAACCCACCTCAACCACCCCTCCAATACCGTTTTGCAGCTGCCATCCGACTTTTCCCTGAAACAAGCCCCACTCTAATCAAGACGGGCACCTGCAATTTCTCTTAAGGCCCACAATTAAGCCCAAACAAAAATATGTGTAGCTCTAACTCCTACACGTATAACTCTTCAGCAGTACTGTTCTTTTCAGACTATAAAGATAGATGGTATTCAGACACTATCCCTCCGCAAATATCCATTATCTTCACATATTAACAGACAAGAAAAAGTTTAACATTTTATTTTTCATATTTAAATAAACAAATTATAAAAACATACATTCCCAGCCTTTGTAGTGTTTTCGCCAAGCAAAAAAAAAAAAAAAAAAAAAACAAACTCGTACAGAAGGTGGCAGTGTTGATTCATTTAAAGGGAACGAAACACCCTTACAGTATCAACATTAAATGCAAAGAATTCTAATGAACATATCGGTTGTACTACAAAAATAATGAAGCCAGCTAATTACCATCAGGTTACAACTTTACAAAGAAGTGAAGCAGCAAAGAGCTGAAGCAGAAATGACATAGGAAAACAGCAGCAAAGTCCTTGAGTCCCAACAGTCCACCTCAAAGACAAACATACTAAAGAACAAAGGCCCCTAATCCACCTCCTCAATGGTAGGGCCTGACCCAGACCCTCCCTTGGGACCCTGAGCCCCGAAGCCCCCAGGCCCGGGACCACCGGCACCCTGGTACAGTCCGCTGATGATGGGGTTACACACCTGCTCCAGCTCCTTCCTCTTGTGCTCAAACTCGTCCTTCTCGGCCAAGGTGTTGGCGTCCAGCCACGAGATGACCTCTTGACACTTGTCCAGAACCTTCTTCTTGTCCGCCTCGCTGATCTTGCCCTTGAGCCCCTCATCCTCCACGGCGCTCTTCATGTTGAAGGCGTAGGACTCCAGGGCGTTCTTGGCTGACACCCTCTCGCGCTGCACCTCGTCCTCCGCTTTGTACTTCTCCGCCTCCTGCACCATGCGCTCGATCTCCTCCTTGCTCAGGCGGCCCTTGTCGTTGGTGATGGTGATCTTGTTGGCCTTGCCGGTGCTCTTGTCCGTGGCCGTGACGTTCAGGATGCCGTTGGCATCGATGTCGAAGGTCACCTCGATCTGGGGCACGCCCCTGGGGGCCGGAGGGATGCCGCTCAGCTCGAAGCGCCCCAACAGATTGTTGTCTTTCGTCATGGCCCTCTCGCCCTCGTACACCTGGATCAGCACCCCGGGTTGGTTGTCGGAGTAGGTGGTGAAGATCTGCGTCTGCTTGGTGGGGATGGTGGAGTTGCGCTTGATCAGGGCAGTCATCACGCCTCCGGCCGTCTCCAGCCCCAGCGACAGGGGAGCCACGTCCAGCAGCAGCAGGTCCTGCACGTTCTCGGACTTGTCCCCCATCAGGATGGCCGCCTGCACCGCCGCCCCGTAGGCCACAGCCTCGTCGGGGTTGATGCTCTTGTTCAGGTCGCGCCCGTTGAAGAAGTCTTGCAGCAGCTTCTGCACCTTGGGGATGCGGGTGGAGCCCCCGACCAGGACCAGGTCGTGAATCTGGGCCTTGTCCAGCTTGGCGTCGCGCAGAGCCTTCTCCACGGGCTCCAGGGTGCTTCGGAACAGGTCGGAGCACAGCTCCTCGAACCTCGCCCTGGTGATGGACGTGTAGAAGTCGATGCCCTCAAACAGGGAGTCGATCTCCAGGCTGGCCTGGGTGCTGGACGACAGGGTCCTCTTGGCCCTCTCGCAGGCGGTGCGCAGCCGCCTCACGGCTCGCTTGTTCTGGCTGATGTCCTTCTTGTGTTTTCTCTTGAACTCCTCCACGAAGTGGTTCACCAGCCTGTTGTCAAAGTCCTCCCCACCCAGGTGGGTGTCCCCGGCCGTGGCCTTCACCTCGAAGATGCCGTCGTCGATCGTCAGGATGGACACGTCGAAGGTGCCCCCGCCCAGGTCAAAGATGAGCACGTTGCGCTCCCCCTTGCCCGTTCTGTCCAGGCCGTAGGCGATGGCGGCGGCCGTGGGCTCGTTGATGATCCGCAGCACGTTGAGCCCCGCGATCACACCCGCATCCTTGGTGGCCTGGCGCTGCGAGTCGTTGAAGTAGGCCGGCACGGTGATCACCGCGTTGGTCACCGGGTAGCCCAGGTACGCCTCGGCGATCTCCTTCATCTTGGTCAGCACCATGGACGAGATCTCCTCGGGGTAGAATGCCTTGGTCTCCCCCTTGTAGCTCACCTGCACCTTGGGCTTGTCTCCGTCGTTGATCACCTGGAAAGGCCAGTGCTTCATGTCCGACTGCACCACCGGGTCGCCGAACTTGCGGCCGATCAGCCGCTTCGCGTCAAACACGGTGTTCTGCGGGTTCAGCGCCACCTGGTTCTTGGCCGCATCCCCGATGAGCCGCTCGGTGTCCGTGAAGGCCACGTAGCTGGGGGTGGTGCGGTTGCCCTGGTCGTTGGCGATGATCTCCACCTTGCCGTGTTGGAACACCCCCACGCAGGAGTAGGTGGTGCCCAGGTCGATGCCGATCGCCGCGGCTTTGGCCATGCCGGTGCCCTGCTCTGTGGGCTCCGCTCTGAGACTGGGGGCTGGAAACGGCGGACGGGATCCGCGACAAGAGCTCAGTCCTTCGGAACGCCGGAAACTCAACACGCCGGTGCCTGCAGCCGCACAGGTTCGCTCTGGAAAGCCTTGGGACCGCGGGAGTCACTCTCGAAAGACGAAGCGGACCCTCGCAGCAGCTCCTCAGGCTGGCCGTTTTCCGGACCGCGCGCCCCTCGGCTTTTATAAGTCGTCGTGGAGACCCGCCTTTCCCCTTCTGAGCCAATCACCAAGCTCGATGAGGCTGCCAGGTCGGGAATATTCCAGGGGTTTCGCCTCCCGTCCTGCCCCCCAGCCTTCCTTGGACCAATCAGAGGGCAGGGTGCCGCCCTCTGCTCAGAACTCTCCAGAGTCTTCTGGGATTCACTGGAGGGGACAGGGGCCCTGAGAGAAAGGGGGAGTGGTGGTGGGAAGGGTGTTGGTCTCCATGGCGATGCTGGCCGCCTGCCCTTCAGTAGGTAATTGACAGGAAGGGCCCGCTCTGGGCGGTGCGAGATTGGTCGGATGACTTTGGAGACAACCAGAACCCGAAAGTTACCTTGTTTCTCGAAGGAGGCGGTGCATCGATGTGCCTGGGAAACTCTGATTGGACTGTGTCTGTGAAGGACGGAGCAGCCTTGGGTCCTTTCTCCGAGGCACCTAATGGCCTAGTCTGCCTGAGAAACGGACCGGCTCTCCCGGATGTTTTTTCCGTCTTAATGGGAAGGAGAAGGAAAGAGATAATGCAATATAGTTTTTGACATAATCTTTAACCTACAAGGATAGAACAACTGGGAATAGGAGCCTTTAAATTTTCACAAGGAAAGCAGTTGTGTAAACAGGCAGTTCTTAGCAAGACAGGGGCACCCATCCAAGGAGGAAGGGAGGCGCTGGTCGGGTAATGGGAGCAGTGGGTCCGCCGCACCCCTGTCCCCGCCCTCAGCCGCTCCCCTCAGCTGCAACCAGGAGTTAGAAAAAAATTTTCCTTAGTATGTAGGCCGTCCTTAAGGCATTTGGGATTCCTCCATTTCCCTCCCCATTCCTAGCTTGGGGTCTGGGACACCTCCTTCCTACTTTCTCAATTCCTGGTTCACTCCTGGACGGTGTGTAGAAGTAGGACCTCACAGTCCCGAGTAAGATTTTCTGTCTGTCCCTGAAACCCCTAGGCTGTTACCGTTTTTAGGTCAAATTTAACAAGATGGTGACCCTGGGAGGGAGGTGCGGGGGGTGTTTAGCTCTCTTTAACATCACATACTACAGCTGTTTGGCAGGTGGCCCTCTTTAAGCAAACTGTGTGGAGTGATGCTGGAAAGCAGGAGGGGTTGGGACCCAGGTTCTAGTTACTAGCTCCTCTTAACACCTCAGGTTATGTGTCTTAAGTTTGTTGTTTTCGTTTTGAGACAGTCTCGCTCTGTCGCCCAAGCTGGAGTGCAGTGGCGTGATCTCGGCTCACTGCAACCTCCGCCTCCCGGGTTTAAGCAATTCTCCTACCTCAGCCTCCTGAGTAGCTAGGATTACAGGCGTGCGCCACCACGCCTGGCTAATTTTTGTATTTTTAGTAGAGACAGGGTTTCCCCATGTTGGTCAGGCTGGTCTCGAACTCCTGACCTCGTGATCCGCCCATGTTGGTCAGGCTGGTCTCGAACTCCTGACCTCGTGATCCGCCCACCTCGGGCTCCCAAAGTGCTGGGATTACAGGCGTGAGCCACCATTCCCGGCCTGTTGTTTTTGTTTGTTTGTTTTGAGACTGAGTCTCACTCTGTCGCCCAGGCTGGAGTGCAGTGGTGAGATCTCTGCTCATTGCAACCTCTGCCCCTGGGGTTCAAACAATTCTGCTGCCTCAGCCTCCCCAATAGCTGGAATTACAGGATGTGCCACCACGCCGGGCTAATTTTTGTATTTTTAATAGAGACAGGGTTTCGCCATGTTGGCCAGGCTGAATGTGTCTAAGTTTTTATCCTAGATTCCAACTTCCTGCGGATTCTCCTTCCTCCTGTTTTAAATACGGTTGCATTTAGTAATTTACTTTCCCTTTGTTTTTTTCCTTCATTCTTAGTGTGAATGCAAGACCCTTTGTTAGGCGTCTGAAAGGAAAATGTGAGGGGGTTGAAGCAATAGTACTGTGTTTACAACCTACCACAAAAAAAAAAAAGAAAAGAAAAAAAAAATAGCCTCATTGCCATGGCGATATTCCTTGAGCACAAATGAAAGGAAGAAGTTACTGATGAAGGAATAATCCTGTTTTTAAACACTTTGCTCAATTGGCACTTTTCATATGCACACCTGCACACACACACCTGTCCACTATCAAAACACCTCTTCCTGGAATTTAAGGGTATTCATTTGTTTATAATTCACTGATCTAAACTCATGTTGCAAATAAATTGCTTTAACAATATGTGTGTGTCTGTATGTGCAGGTAGGTGATAACTTTCACATTCAGCTTTAGCTCCCTAATGAATCACCTCTCTAAACTAGTCAAACCGGTCAAACTTCAGGAATTTTCCCAAACATTTCTCTATGAAATGTCTGGCTGGAGATTCTCCCAAACTATGTTCATCTTAGCTGCACAGTGTATCAACACTTCCAGAGACCCTTAACCTCACCCCTCCCTCTGGAAACTTCCTCACCATCAACTGCTACTACTGGCAGGTCTGGATTCATTCCTTCCCTCCTTCCAAATCCACAATTTAAAAGGCCAGCACAGTGGCTCACACCTGTAATCCCAGCACTTTGGGAGGCCGAAGCAGCAGATCACCTGAGGTCAGAAATTCGAGACCAGCCTGACCAACATGGAGAAAGCCGGTCTCTACTAAAAATACCAAAAAAAAAAAAAAAAAAAATTACCTGGGCATGGTGGCGCATGCCTGTAATCCCAGCTACTTGGGAGTCTGAGGCAGGAGAATCATTTGAACCCAGGAGGCGGAGGTTGCGGTGAGCCGAGATCGCGCCACTGCACTCCAGCCTGGGCAACAAGAGCGAAACTCCTTCTCAAAAATAAAATACTTCTCTGATTCTGCTGAGAAACATAAAAAGTGGGGAGTGGGGGGTGGGAGAGGGGGAGAAAAAACCTCTCTATTGGCATGAAGCAAAGGGCATCACTGTCTCAACTGCCTAGCAAGTAGATGTGGTGTTGGGACCCCAAATCTTGGGTGCTCTCTGGATAGCAGAAAAATCCAATATAAATGCTGTTTTTCTTCAATCAGTCACACTAGTCAGAGTCTACAGTGCTATAGTTGACCTAGCTTTTAAGTGAAGCCTCTGTGGACTAGACTGGAAACCCACACATACATATTCCTTGTCCATTTCCTGACAAGGAGAGGGTCACCTGAATTTTCTTTTTTTTTTCTTTTTTTTTTTTTTGAGACAGAGTCTTGCTCTGTCGCCCAGGCTGGAGTGCAATGGCACAGTCTTGGCTCACTGCAACCTCCACCTCCCAGGTTCAAGCGATTCTCCTGCCTCAGCCTCCTGAGTGGCTGGGATTACAGGTGCACACCACCACGCCTGGCTAATTTTTGTATTTTTAGTAGAGAGGGGGTTTCGTCATGTTGGCCAGTCTGGTCTCGAACTCCTGACCTCAAGTGATCCGCCCGTCTGGGCCGCCCAAAGTGCTGGAATTACAGGCATGAAGCACCACGCCGGCCTTTTCTTTCCTTTCAGACTGGATGCTTCCCAAGGCAGAAATCCAGTCACAAGTTTAATTGCTGTCTAAGGTGAATATATAAGAACCCCAGGAGATTTTTCAGAACTTTAATGTGATTAATTTCAGAATTAGGTTTTTATTGGATTCTGTGTTTGGAAGGATCAGAGCTCAGAGTCCCCAAAGTGAAAGCCAGGTTAGATGCTTTCAAAGGGACAAGAGAACTGAAGAGGGAGTGCCAAGAACATAATTGCTACAGCAGTGTGGGGTAAGACAGCCTTCTTCAGGCTGACGCTGCAGGGTCTTTTCCTTCCTTCTCCCTCTCCTTTTTATAGTTCCTCAAACAGTAGTTTTCTTAATTTTGTTCATTTTAAAAGATGGTATAGGCCGGGCGCGATGGCTCATGCATGTAATCCCAGCACTTTGGGAGGCCGAGATGGGTGGATCACCTGAGATCAGGAGTTCAAGACCAGCCCGGCAAACATGGCAAAACCCCTTCTCTCCTAAAAACACAAAAATTAGCCGGACGTGGTGGTGCACATCTGTAATCCCAGCTACTCAGGAGCTGAGGCAGGAGAATCACTTGAACCTGGGAGGTGGAGGTTGCAGTGAGCTGAGATCGCACCACTACACTCCAGTCTGGGTGACAGAGCAAGACTCTGTCTCAAAAAAATAATAAATTAAAAAAAAAAGCTGTTATAATTTTAAGTTTATCCAAATGAACTTAAATGAAAGCAAAAGAGTTAATTGATATGAAATCTAGAGGCAGGCATTCTTAACTGAATGAATGACAAATGCTTCAATGACAAAGAGAACCCTGGCCATTTCTAGCAGCATGGAAAGAAAAAATCTGGGAAGGGAAAATCCTGGATTTGCATCTGCGCTCTACTTCTTTGGTGAGGCTGTTTTTCTTTTCAACAAGGAAGTACTTGTACATTGACTAAATAACACAAGTTTCGACGTGTTCATCTCTAAAACATAATTAACAATAACTGAACTGCGTGTGGTGACTCAGGTCGGTAATCCCAGTGCTTTAGGAAGCCAAGGCAGGCACTTGAACTCAGAAGTCCAAGATCAGCCTGGGCAACATAGTGGGACACCATCTCTACTAAAAACTTTACAAGTTAGCTGGGCGTGGTGGCAGGTGCCTGTAGTCCCAGCTACTTGGGAGGCTGAGGCAGGAGGATCGCTTGAGCACAAGAGGTCAAGGCTGCAGTGAGCTATGATCACGCCACTGCATTCCAGCCTGGGAGACAGAGATCCTGTCTCGAATAAAAAAATTTTTTTTCCCTACATGATCAAAGAGAATATGATCTTCTCCCTCCTTTTATTGGGGATCCCATACTCTCGGATATGACTCGTAGTCATTCTTATTTAGGTGTTTAAAAGTTGGGGACCATTATTAGGACTACAGCTGCTTTCAGCTTAATGTAAAAACTGTCCTAAGATCTGCGGGCACAGGCCATTCAGTCAAACCTTTTCATTTTCAAAGACAGCACCAAGGATCAAAGAAGTTCAGTGGCTTGATCTGGTTACCCAGATGACAGGTTACAGAACCGGTGATTGGACCCACGGGTTCTGACACTCATTTTGTACTCCTTCCCACATTGGCTCATCAACCTAACTGGGTTTTGTTTGCTTTTAATTTTGTGGTTAGACCTAATTGTTTTATTCTCTAAAGAGGAAAACAAATGAATACAGTGTTGGCCTCTGCGAGCATTAAGGGCACCACGGGTATGTGATCAGCCAGGGACTCCCGTCCTGGCTGCTGCTCTGCTCTTCGGACTCAAGACCATGGCCCCTACAAGCTCTTGCCTTCCCCACCTTCCAGCTCTCCCAGCCCTGCCTCTCCTTTCCGATAGAACAGATTGCTCAAGCAGAAAGAGGGGAAAGGAGGGGGGAGCCCCGTTACTAGGGCAAGGTTGGCATATAGTTCACAGAATCTTCCGGACGTTAAATATAGAGTCCTGACTAACCTTGATGTTTTAGGGCCGGCTGGCGAGAGGAGGGAGAGACTCGGGTGGCGCAGTTTGTTGGGGAGTGTCCCTAAGAATGACACAGCAGTTCTCGCCTTGAAGGTCAGAAAACTCTAGAAACTTCGGGCAGAGCCAGCGACGGGGGAAAAAGCCTCAGCCAAAGGGGAGGAAAGGTGGGGAGTGCGGGGGGGGGGCGGGGGGAGAAAAGGCGGGGCCGCTGGGGCCTGAGGGCGGGGCTGGCTTCGGGGCTGCCTATCCGACTCCTGCGTTTTCTGATGTTTTTTTTTTTCCAAAAAGGGATTAAAGGAGGAAAGAAAGGACCTTTCGAGTTTCTCTCATACTAGGTGATTTACAAGACGAAAATATTGGAGAATTTTGTAACTTTCATACAACTAAATCAGATGCATTGGGTGGCCAGAGGCGAGAAGAGAAGGTCCCCACCGCCCACGGCCAGCGCGCACCCGTCTGCGCGGGGACGCGCGACTGATGGGAGAGTAGGGGATGGAGTCGGTTGGCTTTTGCCTACAGCCAGCTCAGCGCCCCGTTCTAGTCCCTCGCCCCGTGAGGCATCAGGAGAGTAAGAAAATTAGACCCTCAGGAGTGATTCTCGGTTGCTGGGCTCCTCCGTAGTCCCAGCCTGTGAACCTGCTCCAGCCCTCCTCTGGTGCCCTCCCTTCTAATTTTTTTTTTTTTCACTTTTTTTTGAGGCAGGGTCTCGCTTTGTCGCCCAGACTGGAGTGCAGTGGCGCAATCACGGCTCACTGCAGCCTCAAGCGATCCTCCCGCCCCAGCCTCCCGGGTAGCTGGGACTCCAGGCCCGCGCCACCACGCCCTGCTCCTCTCTCCTCCAATTCTTGATCGGGCTGGACGTGGGCCAGCGGGGTGGGGCGGGTTTAACTCCGTGTCTGGAATGCTCCGCTGCCCTACCCCTCAAACATCCCTTTAAATGGTGGTGCTAGGAAAGGACGAGGGCCCGGTGGGTTTACTCCCTCTGGCTGAACTACACCTGATAGATACCTCAGGGGCGTTTCCCAAGGGGATGGATTTAGATCAGTTAGCAGGAGGAATGGTGGCTGTCACAATTTTTTATATTCACGTAAGGATCGCTCCCTCAGAAATCGCCAATATTGGCTCCCCCAAGAAATAACCTCATTTCCTTTTTTAGCCTAAAGCCGTATTATTTCTGCCCACTTCTCTCACATCTATAAAATACTGTAGTTAATTTTTTGTTTTGGTACCTTTTTTGTCTTTTTGAGGATGACAAGAACTCTTGAAGACCAGGAATAACAGTAAGTGTATATGTTATAAAATAAAATCCTGGGTTCAAAGCCATATAAAATCAAATTTATTATCATAGCCTGCTGCCTTCTGAGGCCTGGTATAGGAAGGTAGGAGGTGATTGGAATTGAGAAGATATTTATATTTGTTTTTCCACACCTGCAGTTATTTTTCCTGTTGCACTTTCCTCCCTCAAAGTTCCTCTGCTCCTCAAAACATCACTCCGTTTATGGGTGGCACTGCATTCTCTTTGCTAATTCCACAGCTCCCTCAACGTCTTTTCTTGAGGTTACAAAGTGAATATTTCAAGGTACAGTACTCTGTGCTAGGGTATGCAGGCAAACAATTTTTTTTTTTTTTTTTTTTTTTTTGGAGACGGAGTCTTGCTCTGTCGCCCAGGCTGCAGTGCAGTGGCACGATCTCGGCTCACTGCAACCTCCACCTCCCGGGTTCAAGTGAGTCTCCTGCCTCAGCCTCCTGAGTAGCTGGGATTACAGGCGCCCACCACCACGCCTAGCTAATTTTTGTATTTTTAGTAGAGGTGGGGTTTCACCATCTTGGCCAGGCTTGTCTTGAACTCCTGACCTAGTGAGCCACCCGCCTCGGCCTCCCAGAGTGCTGGGATTACAGGCATGAGCCACCACGCCCGGCCGACAAGTAATAATTTTTACATATTTCTTGTTAAAACACCTACTAATAAGCTTGATAGGGCCATAGGAACTCTCTTATTGCCTCCATTCAATGTTATGTCTGATGACTTCTCTACTGTGTCAACAAAGGCATTTGGTAGGTCCTTCCCCATCTCCACCCTTTTCCAATTACCTTTTTCCCCACTCCATGCCACAGTAGTGGTAGTTGCTCCTGGTTTAGAGTCACTACAGGGTCTGCAGATCAGAGTCACAAATGCTACTGCAGCTCTGAAGGGGAGAGGAGGTCCTATAGCAAAGGCATATTCCCATGAAGATTGATTTACATTGTGGCCAGAGTCCACAGTACTACAGTTTAACTACCATAAGAGATAAATGTTCCTCTGTAGACTGGCCTGGAAACCTAAGCATTTCATATTTATTTTCTATTTTCAAACTTCCAAAGCAAGGTCTACCTTTATGTATCATTTCCCATAACACTGGATTTTCTTCATTAACAAGTATTTAGTGAATGGTTTGATGGGCTTTGAGGTACACATAAGCTCATAAAGTGCTTTAATGTAATATTGATACAATTGATTTTTTTTTCTTTTTTTTTTTTTTAGAGACAGGGTCTCACTCTGTTGCTCAGGCTGGAGTGCAGTGGTACAGTCATGGCTCACTGCAGCCTTGACCTTTACAATGTTATGCAACCGTCAACTCTGGTTCCAAAACATTTTCATCGCCCTTAGATACTATTTATTTATTTATTCACTGAGACAGAATTTCACTCATTGTTCAGGCTGGAGTGCAATGGCACGATCTTGGCTCACTGCAACATCCACCTCCTGGGTTCAACCGATTCTTCTGCCTCAGCCTCCCAAGTTGCTGGGATTATAGGTGCCCGCCACCACGCCCAGCTAATTTTTTGTATTTTTAGTAGAGATGGGGTTTCACCCTGTTGGCCAGGCTGGTCTTGAACTCCTGACCTCAGGTGATCCACCCACCTCGGCCTCCCAAAGTGCTGGGATTACAGGCATGAGCCACTGCGCCTGGCCGACACAATTTTTATTTTTTGAGATGGAGTCTCGCTCTGTCACCTAGGCTGGAGTGCAGTGGCGCAATCTCGGCTCACTGAAACCTCTGCCTTTGAGTTCAAACGATTCGCCTGCCTCAGCCTCCCGAATAGCTGGGATTACAGGCGCACACCATCGCGCCTGGCTGATTTTTGTACTTTTAGTGCAGGAGGTGGGTGGTGGGGGGGGTCCTCACCATGTTGGCCAGGCTGGTCTCGAACTCCTGACCCCAGGTGATCCGCCTGCCTCAGCCTCCCAAAGTGCTGGGATTACAGGCATGAGCCAGCACGCCCGGCCAGATACAATTCATTTTTAAAAGGGCTCACTCCGGGAGCTTTAAGGATTGTAGTGGGCGTTTTCCAAGGAGGAGGGAATTACTTCTAGGATGCTAGCGGCTGGGGCATGAAGCATCTCCAAGGGAAAGTGCATGGGAGTGAAGTCTGTAGGTCTTCCTGGCCCGGGTGCTCACTGGCGTACTTAAATTGTAGGTGATAACTGCTAAGAATGTGACATTTCTATTTCAGTATGCTTTCAGTCATGAGAGAGGCATCGAGCCAAACCCTTCCATTTTAAAAGATGACAACTAAAGCACATGTGTATAACTCAGCAAGCCAGTGAATGTACCCGTTTTTTCACTTTGAAATTTAGGACACTCCTTCCATTCCATGTTGAATCTAGATTAAGTATCAAGTCCATGAGCATATCAGGTGTACCTACAGGAGGTAGGAGCGCTGGCCTCCCATCTAACTGCATTCTTTTTGACCACTTTTGCAGAAACATCCCCGCCCCCCTCCCACCTCTTTTGAGACCAATCTTACACAAACATCACTTTAAGGCTACCCTCCCAGGTGTTAAACTTTTTCTGTACCCTCAGGCTAAACCCAATCAGCATCAACAAACTTTACTTTTTTGTGTGTGTGTGTGAGACGGAGTCTTGCTGTGATGCCCAGGCTAGAGTGCAATGGCGTGATCTCGGCTCACTGCTACCACTGCTTCCTGGGTTCACACGATTCTCCTGCCTCAGCCTCCCTGGGACTACAGGCACGCACCACCACGCCCAGCTAATTTTTGTGTTTTTAGTAGAGACAGGGTTTCACCACATTGGCCAGGTTGGTCTGGAACTCCTGACCTCAAGTGATCCGCCCACCTCAGCCTCCCAAAGTGCTGGGATTACAGGCTTGAGCCACCACTCCTGGCCAGAATCAAGAAGCTTTACTGGAGGATACCATTTGTCTAACACAAATGGATCACATTACAATAGTCACACCTCTGCAAAATCTGCCCTTACTGGAAGCAAAAATGCCATTCCATTTTAGACGCTATGGGAAAAACAACCTATGCAGACCCTACTGACCCCCAAATAAAGGAATAAAAGGCATCACTTGAATTTTAAAGTTTATTTACTTTGAAGTAACCAACTTAAAAAATGGCCTGAGTTAAGTGTATTAAAAAGAAGAAATAGTCGTAAGATGGCAGTATAAATTCATCTCTGCATGTAGAAACCGGAAAAAAAGCAAGTTCAGTACTTCACCAAAAAATTTCAACATTGCAAACACAGGAAATTGAGAACTGACAAACAGAAATACTAGGAAATGCAAAGTCTTGAAGCTCCAAAACAAAAACAGCAATCTTGGAAAGGCCCCTAATCTACCTCCTCAATGGTGGGGCCTGACCCAGACCCTCCCTTGGGACCCTGAGCCCCGAAGCCCCCAGGCCCGGGACCACCGGCACCCTGGTACAGTCCGCTGATGATGGGGTTACACACCTGCTCCAGCTCCTTCCTCTTGTGCTCAAACTCGTCCTTCTCGGCCAAGGTGTTGGCGTCCAGCCACGAGATGACCTCTTGACACTTGTCCAGCACCTTCTTCTTGTCGGCCTCGCTGATCTTGCCCTTGAGCCCCTCATCCTCCACGGCGCTCTTCATGTTGAAGGCGTAGGACTCCAGGGCGTTCTTGGCTGACACCCTCTCGCGCTGCACCTCGTCCTCCGCTTTGTACTTCTCCGCCTCCTGCACCATGCGCTCGATCTCCTCCTTGCTCAGGCGGCCCTTGTCGTTGGTGATGGTGATCTTGTTGGCCTTGCCGGTGCTCTTGTCCGTGGCCGTGACGTTCAGGATGCCGTTGGCATCGATGTCGAAGGTCACCTCGATCTGGGGCACGCCCCTGGGGGCCGGAGGGATGCCGCTCAGCTCGAAGCGCCCCAACAGATTGTTGTCTTTCGTCATGGCCCTCTCGCCCTCGTACACCTGGATCAGCACCCCGGGTTGGTTGTCGGAGTAGGTGGTGAAGATCTGCGTCTGCTTGGTGGGGATGGTGGAGTTGCGCTTGATCAGGGCAGTCATCACGCCTCCGGCCGTCTCCAGCCCCAGCGACAGGGGAGCCACGTCCAGCAGCAGCAGGTCCTGCACGTTCTCGGACTTGTCCCCCATCAGGATGGCCGCCTGCACCGCCGCCCCGTAGGCCACAGCCTCGTCGGGGTTGATGCTCTTGTTCAGGTCGCGCCCGTTGAAGAAGTCCTGCAGCAGCTTCTGCACCTTGGGGATGCGGGTGGAGCCCCCGACCAGGACCAGGTCGTGAATCTGGGCCTTGTCCAGCTTGGCGTCGCGCAGAGCCTTCTCCACGGGCTCCAGGGTGCTTCGGAACAGGTCGGAGCACAGCTCCTCGAACCTCGCCCTGGTGATGGACGTGTAGAAGTCGATGCCCTCAAACAGGGAGTCGATCTCCAGGCTGGCCTGGGTGCTGGACGACAGGGTCCTCTTGGCCCTCTCGCAGGCGGTGCGCAGCCGCCTCACGGCTCGCTTGTTCTGGCTGATGTCCTTCTTGTGTTTTCTCTTGAACTCCTCCACGAAGTGGTTCACCAGCCTGTTGTCAAAGTCCTCCCCACCCAGGTGGGTGTCCCCGGCCGTGGCCTTCACCTCGAAGATGCCGTCGTCGATCGTCAGGATGGACACGTCGAAGGTGCCCCCGCCCAGGTCAAAGATGAGCACGTTGCGCTCCCCCTTGCCCGTTCTGTCCAGGCCGTAGGCGATGGCGGCGGCCGTGGGCTCGTTGATGATCCGCAGCACGTTGAGCCCCGCGATCACACCCGCATCCTTGGTGGCCTGGCGCTGCGAGTCGTTGAAGTAGGCCGGCACGGTGATCACCGCGTTGGTCACCGGGTAGCCCAGGTACGCCTCGGCGATCTCCTTCATCTTGGTCAGCACCATGGACGAGATCTCCTCGGGGTAGAATGCCTTGGTCTCCCCCTTGTAGCTCACCTGCACCTTGGGCTTGTCTCCGTCGTTGATCACCTGGAAAGGCCAGTGCTTCATGTCCGACTGCACCACCGGGTCGCCGAACTTGCGGCCGATCAGCCGCTTCGCGTCAAACACGGTGTTCTGCGGGTTCAGCGCCACCTGGTTCTTGGCCGCATCCCCGATGAGCCGCTCGGTGTCCGTGAAGGCCACGTAGCTGGGGGTGGTGCGGTTGCCCTGGTCGTTGGCGATGATCTCCACCTTGCCGTGTTGGAACACCCCCACGCAGGAGTAGGTGGTGCCCAGGTCGATGCCGATCGCCGCGGCTTTGGCCATGCCGGTTCCCTGCTCTCTGTCGGCTCCGCTCTGAGATTGGGGGCTGGAAACGGAACACTGGATCCGCGAGAAGAGCTCGGTCCTTCCGGACGCCGGAAACTCGACGCGCCGGTGCCTGCAGCCGCACAGGTTCGCTCTGGGAAGCCTTGGGACAACGGGAGTCACTCTCGAAAAAGGTAGTGGACTGTCGCAGCAGCTCCTCAGGCTAGCCGTTATCCGGACCGCTTGCCCCTGGGCTTTTATAAGTCGTCACGGAGACCCGCCTTTTCCCTTCTGAGCCAATCACCGAGCTCGATGAGGCTGCCAGGTCGGGAATATTCCAGGGTTTTCGCCTCCCGTCCTGCCCCCCAGCCTTCCTTGGACCAATCAGAGGCCAGAGTGCCGCCCCCTGCTCAGAACTCTCCAGAGTCTTCTGGGATTCACTGGAGGGGACAGGGACCCTGAGAGGAAGGGGGAGTGGCGGTGGGAAGGGTGTTGGTCTCCATGGCGATGCTGACCGCCTGCGCTTCAGCGCCTAATTGACAGGAAGGGTCGGCGCTGGGCTTTTAATTGTGGGGGCTTGCTGGGCCTGCGCAGTTGTGGGCAGGGGGCTGGTGCGGGGAGCGGGTTACGCGCGTCCAGGGGAGGGTGGGGGCGTTTGTGTTGACACCGCCCGGCCACGTTACAATGGAGATACTGTCTCTGACCTCATGGGCCAGTTTGGAAAAAGATTACTGAGTTGGAGCCGTCTCAAATTTGCAGGGAGGGACGGGGTGGGGGGTGGGGGGACCCCGGTTGTGCAGTTTGATATTGAGGGAGCCCCCACCTACTCGCTGGGGCTGCGTAATCTGGACGTTTCCAAACTGAAGCGAAGGCGTCGGGAGACTAGGTGAGCCAGTAGGGATCTGATTGATTGTGAACCTGAAAGGCTCAGTAGGTCCTTGTTTGGGAAAGTACTGGAAAGTTCCCTAGTTGGTTTAAGCCTGAGGTATGTGGGCGTTGGCTGATCCGGGTAGGAGGAGCACTTGGGGAAAGCTAAGATGGCTTCAGATTGATTGGTCGGAGCAGCCAGAATGGGGGAGGCGGGGGAAGGGAGTGCGGCCTGTCGGGGAAATGGGGAGGCGGGGAAGGCGGGGTAAGGGGGAGGCGGGGTAACTGGGAAGCGGGGGAAAGGGAGTGCGGCCTAGGAATCTGCGGTGTGGAGAGGGATAGACACTAAACCCTTTATTTTATTTTTATTTATTTATTTTTAATTTTTTTTTTTTTTTTGAGACGGAGTCTCGCTCTGTCGCCCAGGGTGGAGTGCAGTGGCACGATCTTGGCTCACTGCAAGCTCTGCCTCCCGAGTTCAGGCCATTCTCCTGCCTCAGCCTTCCGAGTAGCAGGGACTGCAGGCGCCCGCCACCGCGCCCGGCTAATTGCTCCACCTCCCGGGTTCAAGCTATTCTCCTGCCTCAGCCATCCGAGTAGCTGGAACTACTGGCGCCCGCCACCACGCCCAGCTAATTTTTTCTATTTTTTAGTAGAGACGAGGTTTCACCGTGTTAGCCAGGATGGTAGCCAGGATGGTCTCGTTCTCCTGACCCCGTGATCCGCCCGCCTCGGCCTCTCAAAGTGCTGGGATTACAGGCGTGAGCCACCGCCCCCCGCCCTTAAACCCTTTATTGATCAGTTATTGGCTCCAGAAAACAGGAGTTTTATTTAGGAGAAGGATACAGATACTGTCTGGAGTGCCATGTCGTTTGAGAAAACTGGAAGGCTTGTGGTTTTCTAGCAGTCATCTTCAGCCTGACTGGAATTTACTGCCGGTGAACCCCTAATAGAGAATATTATCCCAGGAAGGCAGCAGAACTCAAGTGTGGAGGCTGATGTCTCTTGAAGAGACCAGAATGTACACTACTCTTGGGTCATAAAGAGACAGAATCCCACAGTAAAATATATAGGAACAGGACAGTAGAATTAGGTCACTTGGGAAATTGAAAACAATATACAGCTACTTGCTTCCCAACTTCTTTGAGTAGCTGAGAATACTTTTGTCTACCCTGTCCAAAAAGCAGTCTGCCATGACAGTAGCGTCTCCATGTATTTGTATAGGCTTGCTCATAGCAACATTATTCTGTAAATTCTGTAATCTGTATCCATCGAGAGATAGATAAGCAAAATGTATATAGGCCGGGTGCGGTGGTGGCTCATGCCTGCCATCCCAGAACTTAGGGAGACCGAGGCGGGCGGATCACTTAAGGTTAGGAGTTTGAGACCATCCTGGTCAACATGGTGAAACTCTGTTTTTACTAAAAATACAAAAATTATCTGGGCGTGGCAGTGCACGCCTGTAGTCCCAGCTCCTCGGGAGGCTGAGGCTGGAGAATTAGCTTGAACCCAGGAGGTGGAGGTTGCAGTGAGCCAAGATCATGCCACTGCACTCCAGCCTGGGTAACAGAGTGAGACTCTGTCTCAAAACAAAATCAAAAACAGTGGTATATAAATATGAATATTACTCAGCCTTAGGAAGGAAATTGTGACATGTTACAACATGGATGAAACCTGTGCACATAAGCTAAGTGACATAAGCAAAGTCACAAAAGGATAAATACTGTATAATTCCACTTATATGAAGTTACAAGAGTAGTCAAATTCATAGAGATAGAAAAAAGAGGTCGGGCGCCTTGGCTCAAGCCTATAATCCTAACACTTGGTGACTTGGAGGTGGGAGGAGGTTTCCTTGAGCTCAGGAGTGAGAAACTAGCTTGGGCAACAGGGAGACCTGGTCTCTACAAAAAAATAAAAAATTAGCTGGGTGTGGTGGCATTCACCTGTGGTCCAAGCTACTTGGGAGGCTGAGACAAAAGGATCCTATGAGCCTGGGAGGTCAAGACTGCAGTGAGCCATGATTACACCACTGCAGTGCAGCCTGCGTGACAAAACGAGACCCTGTCTCTAAAAAATGAGAAAAAAAAATGGTTGTTACCAGGCGATAAAGGGAGGGGAAAACGGGAGTTACTTAATGAGTATACAGTTTCAGTTTTGCGAGATGAACAGAATTCTGGAAATTGGTTGAACACCGCTGTGATTGAACTCACTACCAAACTCTACACTTAAAAATGGTTAAGATGGTACAATTTGTATGTATTTTACCACAATAAAAAATAAAAAATAGGCTGGGCGAGATGTTCACTCCTGTAATCCCAGTACTTGGGGAGGCTGGGGCTGAAGGATCGTTTGAGCCCTGAAGGAGTTTGAGACCAGCCTGAGCAACATAAGGAGACCCCATCTGTACACAAAATTAAAACATTAGCCAGGCAGAGAGCTGGTCACGGTGGCTCACGTATGTAATCCCAGCACTTTGGGAGGCCGAGGCGGGCGGATCACCTGAGGTCAGGAGTTTGAGACCAGCCTGGCCAACATAGTGAAACCGTGAAACCCCATCTCTACTAAAAATACAAAAATTAGCTGGGCGTGGTGGTGCCCTCATAATCCCAGCCACTCGGGAGGCTGAGACAGGAGAATCGCTTGAACTCAGGAGGTGGAGGTTGCAGTGAGCCTAGATCACACCACTGCAGTCCAAAGCAAGACTCCGTCTCAAAAAAAAAAAAAATTAGCCGGGCATGTTGTCTCCAGTTATTCTGGAGGCTAAGGCAGGAAGATTGCTGGAGCCTAGGAGATCAAAGCTGCAGTGAGCTATGACTGCGCCTCTGCACTCCAACCTGGGTGACAGAGGAAGACCCTGTCTCAAAAAAATAAATAACATTGAAAAGCACTCTCCCAAAACAGTATCTTATTCTTTCTCCATAGGCCTCAGAGAACCATGGCTACTGCCAAGGGAATCGCCATAGGCATCGACCTGGGCACCACCTACTCCTGTGTGGGGGTGTTCCAGCACGGCAAGGTGGAGATCATCGCCAACGACCAGGGCAACCGCACCACCCCCAGCTACGTGGCCTTCACAGACACCGAGCGGCTCATTGGGGATGCGGCCAAGAACCAGGTAGCAATGAATCCCCAGAACACTGTTTTTGATGCTAAACGTCTGATCGGCAGGAAATTTAATGATCCTGTTGTACAAGCAGATATGAAACTTTGGCCTTTTCAAGTGATTAATGAAGGAGGCAAGCCCAAAGTCCTTGTGTCCTACAAAGGGGAGAATAAAGCTTTCTACCCTGAGGAAATCTCTTCGATGGTATTGACTAAGTTGAAGGAGACTGCTGAGGCCTTTTTGGGCCACCCTGTCACCAATGCAGTGATTACCGTGCCAGCCTATTTCAATGACTCTCAACGTCAGGCTACTAAGGATGCAGGTGTGATTGCTGGACTTAATGTGCTAAGAATCATCAATGAGCCCACGGCTGCTGCCATTGCCTATGGTTTAGATAAAGGAGGTCAAGGAGAACGACATGTCCTGATTTTTGATCTGGGTGGAGGCACATTTGATGTGTCAATTCTGACCATAGATGATGGGATTTTTGAGGTAAAGGCCACTGCTGGGGACACTCACCTGGGTGGGGAGGACTTTGACAACAGGCTTGTGAGCCACTTCGTGGAGGAGTTCAAGAGGAAACACAAAAAGGACATCAGCCAGAACAAGCGAGCCGTGAGGCGGCTGCGCACCGCCTGCGAGAGGGCCAAGAGGACCCTGTCGTCCAGCACCCAGGCCAACCTAGAAATTGATTCACTTTATGAAGGCATTGACTTCTATACATCCATCACCAGAGCTCGATTTGAAGAGTTGTGTGCAGACCTGTTTAGGGGTACCCTGGAGCCTGTAGAAAAAGCGCTTCGGGATGCCAAGATGGATAAGGCTAAAATCCATGACATTGTTTTAGTAGGGGGCTCCACCCGCATCCCCAAGGTGCAGCGGCTGCTTCAGGACTACTTCAATGGACGTGATCTCAACAAGAGCATCAACCCTGATGAGGCCGTAGCATATGGGGCTGCGGTACAAGCAGCCATCCTGATGGGGGACAAGTCTGAGAAGGTACAGGACCTGCTGCTGCTGGACGTGGCTCCCCTGTCCCTGGGGCTGGAGACGGCTGGGGGCGTGATGACTGCCCTGATAAAGCGCAACTCCACCATCCCCACCAAGCAGACACAGATTTTCACCACCTACTCTGACAACCAACCCGGGGTGCTGATCCAGGTGTATGAGGGCGAGAGGGCCATGACAAAGGACAACAACCTGCTGGGGCGGTTTGACCTGACTGGAATCCCTCCAGCACCCAGGGGAGTTCCTCAGATCGAGGTGACGTTTGACATTGATGCCAATGGTATTCTCAATGTCACAGCCATGGACAAGAGCACCGGCAAGGTGAACAAGATCACCATCACCAATGACAAGGGCCGCCTGAGCAAGGAGGAGATTGAGCGCATGGTTCTGGATGCTGAGAAATATAAAGCTGAAGATGAGGTCCAGAGGGAGAAAATTGCTGCAAAGAATGCCTTAGAATCCTATGCTTTTAACATGAAGAGTGTTGTGAGTGATGAAGGTTTGAAGGGCAAGATTAGTGAGTCTGATAAAAATAAAATATTGGATAAATGCAACGAGCTCCTTTCGTGGCTGGAGGTCAATCAACTGGCAGAGAAAGATGAGTTTGATCATAAGAGAAAGGAATTGAAGCAGATGTGTAACCCTATCATCACAAAACTCTACCAAGGAGGATGCACTGGGCCTGCCTGCGGAACAGGGTATGTGCCTGGAAGGCCTGCCACAGGCCCCACAATTGAAGAAGTAGATTAATTCTTTTTAGAACTGAAGCATCCTAGGATGCCTCTACATGTATTTCATTCCCCTCATCTTCAAACATCATTATTATTCTTGACCAGACCTGAATCTAAGTTACCATCCCTTGGAAATTCTGGAGAAGGAGTCTCATGCACCACCTATCACACTCCCTCACATCCTGTTTCTGACTTTGGAATGGACTCAGGAAAACTAGGCCCCTCTTTAAACCGTGTGATGTATTTGAATGTCTGTTATTTCCAGCCACCCTAACATTCTTCTTCCTGTGTGGATGCTTATTTGTCAATCAGTAAATTTGTTCGTAAAGAAAATTACTTCTGGTATTTAGGCTGTGAATGTACCTTGAAGGGGAGAGTTCATGGAGAGAGCATGTGTTCTCTGATTGTGAGGTCACTGTGAATGATTAAATTGGTAAGGGTAAAGTATTTGAATTTTCATGAACTCATTTTGTGTGTGTGTGTGTGTGTGTGTGTGTGTGTGTGTGTGTGTGTGTGTGTTTTGAGAGACAGTCTCGCCCTGTCACCCAGGCTGGAGTGCAGTGGCACAATCTCAGCTTACTGCAAGCTCTGCCTCCTGGGTTCACGCCATTCTCCTGCCTCAGCCTCCCGAGTAGCTGGGACTGCAGGTGCCCCCCACCATGCCCGGCTAATTTTTTGTATTGTTTTAGTAGAGACGGGGTTTCACTGTGTTAGCCAGGATGGTCTCGATCTCCTGACCTCGTGATCCGCCCGCCTCGGCCTCCCAAAGTGCTGGGATTACAGGCGTGAGCCACCGTGCCCGGCCCATGAACTCATTGTTTCAATCAGCCACATAATTTTTGATCCTCAGACACCTTTAGCACAGATGGAACAGATGGCAAACTATAACTGCTTTTAATCAGTTACAAGCTGGTTTTGGAGTTTAGGACTCAACTGGGGGTGGAGGGACAAATCCTGCTTGATGTCCTGATGTCACTTATAGGTAAGGTCCAGGAGATTCAGCATCTATGCACTCACAGAGTTCATTGTTTACATCCATTACATGGAGAAAATATTTCTTTTCTTTTTTTTTTTTTTTGGAAACAGTTTCGCTCTTGTCGCCCAAGCTGGAGTGCAATGGCACGATCTCGGCTCACTGCAAACTTTGCCTCCCAGATTCAAGCGATTCTCCTGCCTCAGCCTCATGAGTAGCTGGGATTACAGGCGCTCACCACCATGCCCGGCTAATGTTTGTGTTTTTAGTAGAGACGGGATTTCACCATGTTGACCAGGCTGTTCTGAACTCCTGACCTCAGGTGATCCACCCACCTCAGCCTCCCAAAGTGCTGGAATTATAGGCGTGAGCCACCGTGCCCAGCCCCAGAAAATATTTCTATAACAAACTCTTGACAAATAAGTATGTCTATGCAAGATGACAAATACAAGTTTTATGAAGTCTCAGTCCATGAAAAAATATTTTTACCAGCTGGGCACAGTGGCTCACGCCTGTAATCCCAGCACTTTGGGAGGCCGAGGCGGGCGGATCATGAGGTCAAGAGATTGAGACCATCCTGCCCAACATGGTGAAACCCCGTCTCTACTAAAAATACAAAAATTAGCTGAGGACGGTGATGCGTGCCTGTAGTCCCAGCTACTCAGGAGGGTGAGGCAGAGGAATCGCTTGAACCCGGGACGTGGAGGTTGCAGTGAGCTGAGATCGTGGCACCACACTCCAGCCTGGTGATAGAGCGAGACTCCATCTCAAAAACATTTTTTTCTTTTACCTGTGTCCTAATACATATTTATAAAAACCTGGGGGATATGAGTTAGAATAATATGTAACTGCATTTCTGTCTGTTTGTGTTTGAAACATTTAACAGTGAAATGTTAGACTGGGTTATTTGTATCTGTGAGCCACAGTCTCTTTAGTTTTACACAGTCCTTTACAGGACAGTCTTGGCAAAAGTGTGTAAGAAATGCGGAGATTGAGGTTGGCTCCTTTGGAGAAATGTATTTATTGGTAACCTTTGATAAAATCAAAATTTGTGCTCCAGCTCCTCCTTATCTCTGGGACTGCTCAACGTTGTTTGTTTATAATTTTCTTTTTTCTAGAGAGAGTCTCGCTCTGTCACCCAGGCTGGAATGCAGTGGGGAGATTGTAGCTCACTGTAACTCTTGGGTTCAAATGATCCTCCTGCCTCAGCCTCCCCAAATGCTGGGATTTACAGGCCTCAACATTTTTTGTTTTTTGGGATGGAGTTTTGCTCTTGTTGCCCAGGCTGGAGTGCAATGGCAAGATCTCCACTCACTGCAACCTATGCCTCCTGGATTTACAGGCGCGTGCCACCACACCCGGCTAATTTTTGGGTTTTTAGTAGAGACAGAATTTCGCCATGTTGACCAGGCTGGTCTCGAACTCCTGACCTCAGGCGATCCACTTGCCTTGGCCGCCCAAAGTGCTGGGATTACAGGTGTGAGCCACTGCTCCCGGTCATTTTTTTTTTTTTTTTTTTTGAGACGGAGTCTTGCTCTGTCGCCCAGGCTGCAGTGCAGTGGCGCGATCTCGGTTCACTGCAACCTCCGCCTCCCAGGTTCAAGCGATTCTCTTCCCTCAGCCTCCCGAGTAGCTGGTATTACAGGAGCCTGCGACCACGCCTAATTTTTTTTGTATTTTTAGTGAAGATGGGGTTTCACCATGTTGGCTAGACTGGTCTCGAACTCCTGACCTCACACAATCCACCCACCTAGGCCTCCCAGAGTGCTGGGATTAAAGGCTTGAGCCACGGCCCTCGGCCTTTTTTTCTTTTTATCAGCTGAATTTAAGATTCAAAACATTTTTTAATTTTATTTTTTAAATTTTATGTTTTTACTTTAACAAATATAGAAAAGTGCACACTTCATAATCTTAACAAACTCCCCACAATTCTCGATAGGAAGTGTGTGTAGGGCACAAACACATCACGCTGTAGATGGCAGGATTCTGGAAAAGAACAAAATCCTTTGAGCTCAGGCGCTGAGTCCCGCCACCCGTCTGGCAGCCCAGGCTAGGGTCCGCGCCTGCGCAATGGGAGCCGGCCGGCCAGGGAGGAAGTCGGAATGAAGGAAACCCCGCCCCTTTCCCGGCTTCCTCCTCCCCTCTACTCTACCCAGCTTGCGCTCCCCAGCCGCAAGTCGGCCGCGCTTTGCCCGTCAGCGCTTGGAGCTTTCTGCGTCGCTTCCCGCTGCGCCTGCGCGGTCCCGCCTCGCCCCACGCGCGGGCTCGCGCTTCGGTTTCCCCAGACCTGCTCGCAGCACCCTGCTGTCTTCCCGGTCCGGCCCGCTGCCCGCGGCGCCAGCACCATGGTGGGTACCGTGACGTCAAAAGGGGGCGCCCTCGGGGACCTCGCATGGTTGGGGCGGGGGATCTGGCCTTTGTACCCCTAGGCTGGAGTTAGGTCCGGAGTTTTTATCTTCATCTTTAGTACTGTACTGTTTCTCAGGTTCATTGAGGAGGCACTGAGAACAAATGGGATATTTTTTCCATGATGAGGGAAAAAACCCCAACCCTGAGAGAGATTCAGTGAGGATAGCGGGAGACGGAAAAGTTAGACCTCAGAGCACTTCTCTGCCAGGCAAGCTTCGGCAGGGTGCGGGTGGGATATTTTCTACAATTCATTGAAAGGAGTGGGCAGGTACCCGAGAAAGGTGGTCGACTGAGAGAGCACAGTGGGGAGGCCGACGTATGCAGGGCAGAGTCTCTCTGGGACTTTAAGTGATGGGCTCAGTGCAGTGTGCAGAATAATTTGGGCTCCAGCCTTTCAGCTCTGTCAACCAATTATTCTTTCCTGTGAAATTTTGAGAACTGTCAGGGATGCAGTGGGGTTCACAATACCAGTATTTGGTAATACTGTCAAAGGACACTCCTCCCTACCATGCTCCTTCCCACATGATGGTTTTCCCCCTCTCTCCCAATAGCTCTTCTATTCTTTTTTCAAGTCCCTTGTGGGCAAGGATGTGGTCGTGGAACTAAAGAATGACCTGAGGTAGGTACCTGTTCCAACAAGTCTGTTGGGGGTGGGTGTGCCCAGGGCCCTGGAACCTCTTTAATTTGAGAAATATTTCAGGGCTAGGCGAGGTGGAAGATGTACAGAAGAAATAAATGGATAGGGTGCAGTGGCTCAAGCCTGTAATCCCAGCACTTTGGGAGGCTGAGGAAGGAGGAAAGCTTGAGCCCAGGAGTTTGAGGCTGCAGTGAGCAGTGATTACTCCATTGCACTCTAGCCCAGGCAATAGAGCAAGACCCCATCTCTAAGAAAAATTTTAAAATTTAGCAATAAATAAATGCCTTGTGCCTTAAATTTACAGATAAGCTTAGAGATTGTATCGTGTATTGGAAAACAATACAAAGCAATATATAGTTTAAAGAGTAAATACAGGTCAGGCGCAGTGGCTCACGGGCTGGACGTGTGGCTCATGCCTGTAATCCCAGCACTTTGGGAGGCCAAGGTGGGCGAATCACGAGGTCAGGAGTTCAAGACCAGCCCGGTCAAGATGGTGAAACCCTGTCTCTACTAAAAATACAAAAATTAGCCGGGCACGGTGGCTGGTGCCTGTAATCCCAGCTACTCGGGAGGGTGAGGCAGGAGAATCGCTTGAACCTGGGCGGCAGAGGTTGCAGTGAGCTGAGATCACACTGCTGCACTCCAGCTGGGTGACAGAGTGAGATTCTGTCTCAAAAAAAAAAAAAAAGTAAGTACTAGGCTGGCCATGGTGGCTCACACCTGTAATCTCAGCACTTTGGGAGGCTGAGGCAGGAGGATCACTTGAGTCCAGGATGTCGAGACTAGTCTGGGCAACATAGTGATGAGACCTCTATTTCTATAAAAAATTAGCCAGGTGTAGTGTACATGCCTGTAGTCTCAGCTATTCGGGAGGCTGAGGTGGGAGGATCACTTGAACCCAGGAGGTCAAGGCTGCAGTGAGCCATGATTGTATCACTTTACTCCAGCCTGGTTGACAGAGGAAGACTCTGTCTCAAAAAAAGAACAGGCCAGGCCGGGCGCGGTGGCTCACGCCTGTAATCCCAGCACTTTGGGAGGCCGAGGCAGGCGGATCACAAGGTCAGGAGATTGAGATCATCCTGTTTAACATGGTGAAACCCTGTCTCTGCTAAAAATACAAAAAATTAGCCAGGCGTGGTGGCATGCTCCTGTAGTTCCAGCTACTTGGGAGTCTGAGGCAGGAGAATGGCGTGAACCTGGGAGGCGGAACTTGCAGTGAGCCAAGATGGTGCCACCGCACTCCAGCCTGGGTGACAGAGCAAGACTCCGTCTCAAAAAAAAAAAAAAAAAAAAAGAAAAAAAAGAACAGGCCATAGGCCGGGCACGATGGCTCATGCCTGTAATCCCAGCACTTTGGGAGGCTGAGGCGGGTGGATCACGAGGTCAAGAGAGCGAGAACAGCCTGGCCAACATGGTGAAACCATGTAGTGTATCTAATACCTAGCATAGGCCAGTTATATGATAGGTGCTTAAAGAAAGAAAAATAATATCCGAAGACGTATTGACTAACCACTATTCTGAATACATTTATTGATTGATTTCTCAAACACTGCTAAGTAATATATACTATTGCTGTTTTACACGAGGAAACTGAGGCTTAGATCAGCTATACCACTTGTTCAAGTCTACAAAACTAGTAAGTGACACAACTGAAATATGATTCTGTCCAGCTTTTTTTCTTTCTTTTTTTTTTTTTTTGAGATGGAGTTTCAGTCTGTCACCTAGGCTGGACTGCAATGGCGTAATCTCGGCTCACTGCAGCCTCTGCCTCCTGGGTTCAAGCAATTCTCTGCCTCAGCCTCCCTAGTAGCTGTGATTACAAGTGCCCACCACCATGCCCGGCTAAATTTTGTATTTTTAGTAGAGATGGAGTTTCACCATCTAGGCCAGGCTGGTCTTGAACTCTCGACCTTGTGATGCACCTGCCTCAGCCTCTCAAAGTGTTGGGATTACAGGCGTGAGCCACTGCGCCTAGTCCTACTTTCTTTCTTAAAATAATATTTATTTATTTAAAAATTAGAGACAGTGCCTCACTTTGTTGCTCAGGCTGGTTTCAAATTCTTTGAGTTCAAGCAGTCCTCTTGCTTCAGCTTCCCAAAGTGCTGGGGTTACGCGCATGAGCCAGCACACCTGGCCCTGTACTTATCTGTACAGTCCTTTAAATAATATGTACATTTAGGCCAGATGCGGTGGCTCATACCTGTAATCCCAGCACTTTGGGAAGTCGAGGCGGGTGGATGCCTGAGGTCACGAGTTTGAGACTAGCTTGGCCAACATGGTGAAACTCCATCTCTACTAAAAATACAAAAATTAGCCAGATGTTGTGTTGTGCGCCTGTAATCCTAGCTGCTCAGGAGCCTGAGGCTGGAGAATCACATGAACCCGGGAGGCGGACGTTGTAGTGAGCTGAGATCAGGCCACTGCACTCCAGCCTGGGCGACAGACTGAGACTCCATCTCAAAAAAAAAAAAAAAGTACATTTAAAATATTGATACCTGTTACCTCATTATCCTTTAGAAAGATGGGATCAATTGTATTCTCTTCCCAAAAGCGTCTTCCACATTTATTTTTTTGAGATGGGGGTCTCACTCTGTTGTCCAGGCTGTAGTGCAGTGGCACCACCATAGCTCACTCAGCCTCCTGAATAGCTGGGGCTATATGCCACCATGCCCAGCTAATTTTTTAATTATTTGGAGAGGCAGAGTCTCACTGTGTTGCCGAGGCTAGTCTGAAACTCTTGGGCTCAAGCAGTCCTGCCACCTTGGCCTCCCAAAGTGCTGGAATTACAGGTGTGTGCCACTGTGTCTGGCTGTCTTCCACATTTCTATGTGAGATAATTTTTTCATGGGTTACACGTTGACAGGGCAGGGAATGGTGAGGAGAGGGACTTAAGGGCCTTTGCGTTTTAGAACACAGGTTTCCATTTGTAGCACTGGCAATGCAAGTGATATTGATGTGTATAGATTGGGGCCACAGAGCAAGACAAGTACGGTAATCACTATCAGTCTTAGGCAATTTGGTGTGATGACTTGTTTTTGATTCTCCTCTTTTCTCCTTCCTGGGCCTTTTACATGGGAAGCCTAACTGTTGTGTTATAACCCTAGGCCCTAAAGTACCTTTATTTTTTTTATTTTATTTTGTTTTTGAGACAGAGTCTTGCCCTGTCGCCCAGGCTGGAGTGCAATGGCGTGATCTCGGCTCACCGCAACCTCTGCCTCCCGGGTTCAAGTGATTCTCCTGCCTCAGCCTCCCTGGTAGCTGGGATTACAGGCATGCGCCACAACGCCTGGCTCATTTTTTGTATCTTCAGTAGAGACAGGGTTTCACCATGTTGGCCAGGCTGGTCTCCCAACTCCTGACCTCGTGATCTGCCCACCCCAGCCTCCCAAAGTACTGGGATTACAAGTGTGAGCCACTGCACCCGGCCGTAGTAACATTTCTTTTCTTTTTCTTTTTTCTTTTTTTTATTGAGACGAGTCTCGCTCTGGTCGAGTCTACGCCAGGCTGGAGTGCAGTGGTGCTGTAACCTCCGACTCCCTGGTTCAAGTGATTATCCTGCCTCAGCCTCCCGAGTAGCTGGGATTATATGCATGCACCACCACGCCCAGCTAATTTTTGTATTTTTAGTAGAGAAGGGGTTTCACCACGTTGGCCAGGATGGTCTCAATCTCCTGACCTTGTGATCTGCCCACCTCGGCCTCCCAAAGTACTGTGATTACAGGTGTGAGCCACTGCGCCCAGCCTTCTTTTTTTTCTATTTATTTATTTATTTTTGTTTGAGATGGGGTCTCACTCTGTCACCCAGGTTGGAGTGCAGTGGCATGATCTCGGGTCACTGCAACCTCTGCTGCCTGGGTTCAAGTGATTCTCCTGCCTCAGTCTCCCAAGTAGCTGGGATTACAAGTGCCTGCCACCATACCTGGCTAATTTTTGTATTTTTAGTAGACATCGGGTTTCACCATCTTCGTCAGGCTGGTCTTGAACTCCTGACCTCGTGATCCACCTGCCTCGGCCTCCCAAAGTGCTGGGATTACAGACGTGAGCCACTGCACCCGGCCTTTTTATATTATTTTTAAAATTTTTCATAGAGACAGAGTCTCGGCCGTGTTGCCCAGGCTGGTCTTGAACTCCTGGACTCAAGTGATCCTCCCACCTCAGCCTCTCAAAGTGCAGTGACTACAGGTGTGAGCCAATATGTGTGTGGCTTTAAAGTGACTTTTCTGTTGGGATGAGAAAGAAGATCTTTCTCCTTTTTTTTCCTTGAGACAGGGTCTCACTCTGTTGCCCTGGCTGGAGTGCGGTGGCGCGATCTTGGCTCACTGCAACCTCTGCCTCCTGGGTTCAAGTGATTCTTCCACCTCAGCCTCCCGAATAGCTGGGATTACCGGTGCATGCCACCACTCCCAGCTAATTTTTTGTATTTTTAGTAGGGATGGGGTTTCACCATGTTGGCCAGGCTGGCCTCAAACTCCTGACCTCAAGTGATCCTCCTGCCTCAGCCTCCCAAAGTGCTGGGATCACAGGTGTGAGCCACCACGCCTGGCCAAAAGTTCTTTCTCTTATGTTTGTTGTCAGACCACTTTTGTGCTATGTATCTCCCCCTCCTTAAGGGACTTAATAAAATGACACCACTTTGTACAATTCCCAAATGTTATTTCACTGCTGGAGATGGTGGGGTGCTGTCAAATGTTTTTCAGCAGCTAGCAATATGGTGAGAACATTACTGAGGCAGTGGGTTTCAGATACTGGGTGTTTGTTTTTGTTTTTGTTATTAGGCAGAGACTCACCCTCTGTCTCAAAAAAAATAATGATTGCCTAGTACTAGTTCATTTAAATTAATTTCCTAGAGCATATTTAAGTGGGTCTTTTTTTTTTTTTTTTTTTTTTGAGACAGATCCTTACTCTGTCACCGAGGCTGGAATGCAGTGGCATGATCTTGGCTCACTGCAACCTCTACCTCCTGTGTTCAAATGATTCTCGTGCCTCAGCCTCCTGTATACCTGGGACTACAGGCATGCACCACACACAGCTAATTTTTGTATTTTTATATTTTATTTTTAAATTTTTTTTTTCCTCCTGGGTTCAAGTGATTCTCGTGCCTCACCTCCTGAGTAGCTGGGATTACAGGTGCACACCACAATGCCCAGCTAATTTTTGTATTTTTTTTTTTTTGAGACGGAGTCTTGCTTTGTCACCCAGGCTGGAGTGTAGTGGTGTGATCTCCGCTCACTGCAAGCTCTGCCTCCCAGTTCACGCCATTTTTCTACCTCAGCCTCCCAAGTAGCTGGGACTACAGGTGCCCGCCACCATGCCCGGCTAATTTTTTGTATTTTTAGTAGAGACGGGGTTTCACCGTGTTAGCCAGGATGGTCTCGATCTCCTGACCTCGTGATCCACCCGCCTCGGCCTCCCAAAGTGCTGAGATTATAGGCGTGAGCCACCACGCCCGGCCAATTTTTGTATTTTTAGTAGAGATGGGGATTCGCCGTGTTGGCCAGGCTGGTCTTGAAGTCCTGGCCTCAAGTGATCCGCCCACCTTGGCCTCCTAAAGTTCTGGGATTATAGGCATGAGCCACCGCACATGGCCTAGACGCTGGGTTTTAAAGACTTTCAGAATTTTACAAAAATTGGGGCAGAGAACTGCCAACTTTATTTTTGGCAAGATAAGGACGTTTTTAAAACTGCTATTTATTACGATTATTTTTATTTATTTATTTTTCTTGAGATGGAGTCTCACTCTGTCACCCAGGCTGGAGTGCAGTGGCTCGATCTCGCCTCACTACAACCTCCACCTCCCGGGTTCAAGTGATTCTCCTGCTTCAGCCTCCCGAGTAGCTGGGATTACAGGCGTCTGCCACTATGCCCAGCTAATTTTTTGTATTTTTAGTAGAGATGGGGTTTCACGATGTTGGCCAGGCTGGTGTCGAACTCCTGACCTCGTGATTCGCCCGCCTCGTCCTCCCTAAGTGCTGGAATTATAGGCGTGAGCCACCGTGCCCGGCCACAGTTATTTTATTTTATAACTTTAAAATAGAGATGAGGTCTTGCTATGTTGTCTGGGCTGTTCTCCAGCTGGCTTCAGGCGATCCTCCTGCCTCAGCCTCCCAGAATGCTTGGATTATAGGCGTGAACAACCATTCCCAGCCAAAGGCTGTTTTTTTAAATTTTTGCACCATTCTCTCAAAGAGCACTGGTGTTTTGATAGCATTCCTCAAATAGCATTTCAAGGGGCTCGAGGATTGGGGAATGGAGAGGACATCACTCATGCCTGCATCATCAAGAGTAATGCTACCTACCTTTATCCACATATGGGCTCTGGTTCCAAAGCAATAAATGTTTGAAAATAGCTAGCCTGGGTGACATTCACAGTGAGACCCTTTCTCTACAAAAAAAAAAAAAAAAAGTCGGGAATGGTGGCTCATGCCTGTAATCCCAGCACTTTGGGAGGCTGAGGTGGGCAGATCATGAGGTCAGGAGATCGAGACCATCCTGGCTAACACGGTGAAACCCCGTCTCTACTAAAAATACAAAAAATTAGCCAGGAGTGGTGGCCGGCATCTGTAGTCCCAGCTACTCGGGAGGCTGAGGCAGGAGAATGGCGTGAACCTGGGAGATGGAGCTTTCAGTGAGCCGAGATTGTGCCACTGCACTCCAGACTGGCCGACAGAGCGAGACTCCATCTCAAAAAAAAATCAGCTGGGCATGGTGGCTCAAGCCTGTAATCACAGCTACTCAAGTGGCCACAGTGAGCCATGATCACGCCATTTCACTCCAGCCTTGGCCATAGAGTGAGACCCTGTCGCAAAAATAAAAAAAAAATAGCTGATGGTTTTGGGAGTCACACAGACTTGGACTGAAGTTCCCATTTGTTCTAAACTCATAAAGTTTAAAACAACCTCTCTGAGCCCCTGGAAGGTAATAACTACTTTGAAAGATGGCTGTAAAGATTACAAATACTATATAGAATACAGGTCTAGCCTTTACCAGTTGTTTAATGGTAGCTGTTAAGAATAGGTTGGTTTGGCCGGGGACAGTGGTTCACACCTGTAATCCCAGCACTTTGGGGAGCTGAAGTGGGCAGATCGCCTGAGATCAGGAGTTAAGGAACAGCCTGGCCAACATGGTGAAACCCCATCTCTACTAAAAATAAAAAATTAGCCGGGCATGATGGCATGCGCCTGAAGTCCTAGCTACTCAGGAGACTGAGGCAGGAGAATCGCTTGAACCTGGGAGGCAGAGGTTGCAGTGAGCCAAGATCACACCACTGCACTTCAGCCTGGCTGACAGTGAGACTCCATCTCAAAAAAAAAAAAAAAAAAAAAAAGAATGGATTGGTTTAGGGAGAGGAGATGTGGGGTTGAAAATAAACTACTCTGTTAGTTGTCTTTCCTACTCCAGGGCTTAGGAATGCCCCCTTTTGGTTCTACCTTTTCTGACATCCTCAAGTCCTTGACTTCTCCCAGTCATGTTCTCATCCCAGCTCTGAAGTCACCTCTATGTTGACTTTGTTATAAACTAATTTGATTCTTCTCTCCCTCTGCCCTTGACAGCATCTGTGGAACCCTCCATTCTGTGGATCAGGTGAGATATAGCACGGGCCCCAGAATTGGTTCCTGGAGAAGGAGAGGGGAGACTTAAGGGTTGGGTTCTTACATCATGTCTCTAGGGTTAATAATGGTGTTCGTCGGCCAGGCACGGTGGCTCACGCCTGTAATCCCAGCACTTTGAGAGGCCGAGGCCTGAGGTCAGGAGTTCAAGACAAGCCTGACAAACATGGTGAAACCCCGTCTCTACTAAAAATACAAAAAATTAGCTGGGCGTGGTGGTGGGCACCTGTAATCCCAGCTAGTCGAGAGGCTGAGGCAGGAAAATCATTTGAACCCAGGAGGCGGAGATTGCAGTGAGCCGAGATGGCACCATTGCACTCCAGCCTGGGCAACAAGAGCAAAACTCTTGTCTCAAAAAAAAAAAAATAATAATAATAATGGTGTTCATCTTCCTTTCCTAGTATCTCAACATCAAACTAACTGACATCAGTGTCACAGACCCTGAGAAATACCCTCACATGGTGAGTTGGGGTCTGTGGAGAAGAGGAAACACCTCTAAAGCAGGAGGCCCCTGGGTGGTTAGAGGACATTTTTAAGGGTGTTTTCATATTTGTCCATCTTTGTCTAGTTATCAGTGAAGAACTGCTTCATTCGGGGCTCAGTGGTCCGATACGTGCAGCTGCCAGCAGATGAGGTCGACACACAGTTGCTACAGGATGCGGCAAGGAAGGAAGCCCTGCAGCAGAAACAGTGATGGCTCCTCCTCCTCTTCCCCTCCCTCTTTCATTGGTGACCCATAACCCCAAGTCCCAGCCCAGAACCCCTAACCCCCAATACTTGAAGGGGTTTTGTTTTTTTACTAATGATGGTTTTGTGGGTTTTTTTTAAGGGATGAGTGGATGAGAGGAGTAATAGGGAACAGCTATCCTCTCTTGAGAAGGGGAGGATAAGTAGGCTGGGAAACTTCAAAGCCTTCCCAGTCCCCAGCACCTGCCTTTCTCACTACTTCTCTGGAGATGGTAGGAGAGTTTCCTAGGTCTTTCCAGGGCAGCATGTGATTCATTTGGGGATGGAAGGAATCTGTCCCGCATCGGGAATAAAATTTATGATGCAAATTTGTGTTTTGGTTCTGTTACTATGTGTTGGGCAGGGGGCTGGGACATGGAAAAGGATGTCGAATTCATCCAAGCCCCTGTTACTCTGCGTTAACCCAGCCAAGAATCCAACTCAGCTTCCCACTACTCTCCTTGGTATAAAGCATATAATACAGTTGCTCTACACCATGTTTCCCCAACATGTCCCTACCTGTATGTTCTCCCTGTGGCCTTTTGCTTATACCATACCTGCAACTGGAGTGCTTGCTGTCCTTCCATTAATGTGATAGTGTCATAAGATACATTTCATGCTACCAGACTTCACCAATCCAACCAAATCAGTTCATGTTTTCTGAATATGTATAGAAGATAAATACAAGTGATGTAATTTATATTTTAGAGAAAAGTTGTGACTGGGAATTACTAAACTTCATTCACTCATTCAGCAAATATGAGTTCATGATACAGATGAGACTTCTCAGCCTTAAGGGACCCTTAGAGACCATCTAGTGTGACCCTCCTTTTTGTTTTTGAGACGGGAGTCTCACTCTGTTGCCCAGGGTGGAGTGCACTGGCTTGGTCTGGCTCACTGCAACCTCCGCCTCCCGGTTCAAGCGATTCTCCTGCCACAGCTCCTGAGTAGCTGGGATTACAGATGCCCACCACCATGCCCGGCTAATTTTTTTTTTTTTTTTTTTTTTTTGAGATGGAGTCTCACTTTGTCACCCAGGCTGGACTGCAGTGGTGTGATCTTAGCTCTGCAATCTCCGCCTCCCAGGTTCAAGTGATCTTCTTGCCTCAGCTTCCCAAGTAGCTGGGCTTACAGGTGTGTGCCACCACGCCTGGCTAATTTTTGTATTTTTACAAATACTGCAGCTCTGTCGCCAGGCTGGAGTGCAGTGGCACGATCTCAGTTCACTGCAACCTCAACCTCCAGGGTTCAAGCAATTCCCTGCCTCAGGCTCCGGGGTAGCTGGGATTACAGGCGCCTGCCACCACACCTGGCTAATTTTTGTATTTTTAGTAGAGACGGGGTTTCACCATCTTGGCCTGGCTGGTCTTGAACTCCTGACCTGGTGATCCACCCGCCCTGGCCTCCCAGAGTGCTGGGATTACAGGCGTGAGACGGGCTTTCACCACCTTGGCCAGGCTAGTCTTGAACTTCTGACCTCAGGTGATCCGCCCACCTCGGCCTCCCAAAGTGCTGGGATTATAGGCGTGAGCCACTGCGCCCGGCCGTCACCCTTTTTTCATACATGAGGAGATGAGGCTCAAAGAGGAAGCTGGACGCCAGGGCCTCGGCAAATGGACCTCCCCTTCGGTCCTCATCAGGCGGCTCCCTGCTGGGCACCTCCCCGCTACCGGGTGGGGAACGCCCTCCACCGGCAGGGCCGGCCGACCCTCTTGGGCCAGTTCCCTAGCTGCCCGCTGGGCGCCGCCCTCGCCACCCGGCCGAGGACCCGCACAAGGTGCCCGTGGCGGCGCCTGACGGGAGCGTCGTGCTCAGGGGTGTCCTCTCGTCCTGCGTCCGCGCCCAGCGCCCCGCGCCCCGCGCTGTTCCTCGTGAGACCGGCGGGCGGCGAGCCGCGCGGCCCCCGGGGCAGTGTCGGACACGGCGGGCGCGCACTCGCAGGCGGGGCACGGCCGCCCCCGCCAGGACCCGCAGGCCCGGAAACGCTCCCTGTCACAAAGGGGGGAACACGTGGGCGCCGGCTGCCGGGGCGGCGATCTTAGGGAACTAGGGTCACCTGGAGAGCCGCCCACCGTCTCTGCCCGCTCGACTCCTCCGCCCGGGCCGCTCGGCCGGTCCAGCCGCGGCCGGCGCCTGGCTGTGAGGTGGATTCCCGGCCCAGTCTGACCATCTCCCTCCAGTACGTACACGCGGCTCGAACCCGCATCCAACCAGACGCCGACCCGCTCCTGAGAGCCTTCCACACTCCCCGAAGCCCCGCGATGGTGGATAGTTCCTCTTCCCCAGGAACTCCCCACTGACACTGCCCCTCTGAGAGCCAGGTCCTCGGCTCCTGACAGCCTGCCTGGTCAGACCCTCAGTCCTATGGGACTCGGGTGTCTGCGGCGAAGGAGCTCCCGTGAGGGTCCCCTCTCTACTCAAACATAGGACCCACCTCGATCCCGCAGTCTTCCCCTGTCTCTCTTTCTCCTTAGGTTTTTCCACTTCGTTCGGACCTTCTCATAACTATGTCCACCCTCTACGTCTCCCCTCACCCAGATGCCTTCCCCAGCCTCCGAGCCCTCATAGCCGCTCGCTATGGGGAGGCTGGGGAGGGTCCCGGATGGGGAGGAGCCCACCCCCGCATCTGTCTCCAGCCACCCCCGACTAGCAGGACTAGCTTTCCCCCACCCCGCCTGCCGGCCCTGGAGCAGGGGCCCGGTGGGCTCTGGGTGTGGGGGGCCACGGCTGTGGCCCAGCTGCTGTGGCCAGCAGGCCTGGGGGGCCCAGGGGGCAGCCGGGCGGCTGTCCTTGTCCAACAGTGGGTCAGTTACGCCGACACGGAGTTAATACCAGCTGCCTGTGGAGCAACGCTGCCGGCCCTGGGACTCCGAAGCTCGGCCCAGGACCCCCAGGTGAGGGGGTTGTACAGAAGAGGGGGAGGGGAGAAATTCAGAGGAGGGAAGCGAGGACTGGAATGGACAATGAGACAAGAAGGTAGTACATCAGATGTGGGAAAAGAGTGATCAAATCCCAGATTGCCAACTGGTATGGTAACCCTGGGCACGTTTCATAGACCCGCTGTGTCTTGGTCTTCCTATGTCTATGAACACGCAGGCAAGTTGATGTAATGCTTGCCTCACTGAGTTAATAGGATTAAAAGATGTGCGCAGAGCACATAGTTTAGTGCCAGGCACTTTTAAAGTCTCTTAGTAAAAGTTTGATGAGTCTGAAATTGATGAGGATAGAAGTTATTTGAATTGTAGGAAAAGACTGGGTGAGGGAGAGATGACAATTGCTGGGAGGAGATAAAAGAGAAATGAAATGAGGAAGGTAAGTGAGAGGAGAGATAACCCTGCCAGATTGTAACTATCAGTCCTTCCAAAGGAGACCTGTGCCTTGGTGTACTTTCAACTCTGCCTCCTTGCATGGTATTGAGCACATGATGGAAAATTAGTATTTCTTGAATGGATGAATGAATGTGGCAGACCCTGACTTGCTCCCTCATATTGTGATCACCCTATCTACAATAGAGTCCTTGCATTCAGAATGTCTGTCCAAACAAACAAATAAAATAGAGTCCCTCTCTTCTGGAATTCCCTGTTTGTTCCCCTCTTTTATTTCTTTTCTTTTCTTTTTTTTTTTTTTTTTTGAGACGGAATCTCCTTCTGTTGCCCAGGCTGGAGTGCCACGGTGCGATGGTGCGATCTCAGCTCACTGCTCAAGCGATTCTCCTGCCTCAGCCTTCTGAGTAGCTGGGATTACAGGCGCCCACCACCTTGTCCGGCTAATTTTTTGTATTTTTAGTAGAGATGGGGTTTTGTCATGTTGACCAGGCTGGTCTCGAACTCCTAACCTCAGATGGTCTGCTCGCCTCGGCCTCCCAAAGTGCTGAGATTATAGGTGTGAGCCACCACGCCTGGCCCCTGTTCCCCTCATTCTGCTTTATTTTTCTTCATAGGAGTTAAGAAAAATAGGGCACTTCATTTTATATTTGCTCATTTGTTGTTCCCCTACAAGAATGTTAACTCTACCAGGTCAGGGTTCTGTCCATCTGTTCGTGTTTTCCTCTCATTCCCTGGAGAAGTACTTAATACATATTTATTGATGTTCTGAACCTGGCAGTTATTGAGATGCCTCATATAATCTTTACTTCTATGCTTAACATATTGCATCTAACACATAAGTATTGAGTAGGGATTTGTTGGATGAGTCAGAAGTGTTTTGTTTTTTTTTTTCTGAGACGGAGTCTCGCTGTGTTGCCCAGGCTGGAGTGCAGTGGCGTGATCTCGGCTCACTGCAAGCTCCACCTCCTGGGTTCATGCCATTCTCCTGCCTCAGCCTCCCGAGTAGCTGGGACTACAGGCGCCCGCCACCACGCCTGGCTATTTTTTTTTTGTATTTTTAGTAGAGATGAGGTTTCACCATGTTAGCCAGGATGGTCTCGATCTCCTGACCTCGTGATCCGCCCAGAAGTATTTTTATTGTGACTATTTGAGTGAAGAAATGGGACTCAGAGGTGGTGATTTGTGAGAGTGGGGTGGAGGGAGGCCACATGGATTGGGTTGTGGTGGGAGATGGAGGTGGGCCAAACCTTGTCTCACACTTCTTCCCCTTCCTGCCAGGCTGTGCTGGGGGCCCTGGGCAGGGCCCTGAGCCCCTTGGAGGAGTGGCTTCGGCTGCACACCTACTTGGCCGGGGAGGCCCCCACTCTGGCTGACCTGGCGGCTGTCACAGCCTTGCTGCTGCCTTTCCGATACGTGAGTCACCAGGCCTGGGGAAGAACAAGACTGCTCTCCTCAGACCTCACTGTAGGGTGACTGAGAAGAGTCATTTATTTCCTGTTCCAGGTCCTAGACCCACCTGCCCGCCGGATCTGGAATAATGTGACTCGCTGGTTTGTCACGTGTGTCCGGCAGCCAGAATTCCGAGCCGTGCTAGGAGAAGTGGTTCTATACTCAGGAGCCAGGCCTCTCTCTCATCAGCCAGGTGAGGAAGGGCGAGGAGTTGGAGGATAGGGGCTTCCCTGGGGCCTTCCATGCAACTCACTTTCTTTTTTTCCTAGAAATGGCAGAATCACTGGGGCAGGGTCCTGCGGGAGAGGAGGGAGAGGGGGGAGGTCAGCATGGGCAAGACCTCGGGCATCTAAAATACCCCATCTGAAACCTAGTATGGCCGTCCAAGAGGGTCCCCAGCTGGCTGAGTCTGAATTTCTGCACCTCTCTCTAGGCCCCGAGGCTCCTGCCCTCCCAAAGACAGCTGCTCAGCTCAAGAAAGAGGCAAAGAAACGGGAGAAGCTAGAGAAATTCCAACAGAAGCAGAAGATCCAACAGCAGCAGCCACCTCCAGGGGAGGTGAGGCGAGGGTGGAGCTGGAAGGAAAGTTGATGTGTGCGGTGATGGGTTGGCTGATGCCTGGGCCTATGTCTTCTCCCTCCCAAGCAGAAGAAACCAAAACCAGAGAAGAGGGAGAAACGGGATCCTGGGGTCATTACCTATGACCTCCCAACCCCACCCGGGGAAAAGAAAGGTACTAGGAGTGGGAAGGGGCTCACCCCTCAGCAGCCCCTTCTAAGTTTTCACCCTATCTTGCTCTATTCTTGCTCTCACCACTTTGTTTGGTGAGGAATTGCAGACCCCCTGCCCTGCCTCTAGGCCCCTCAAATGCCTGTCCTATGATGTGAGTGACGGAGATCCCGATCCCTCTCTGCCAGCACGTCTCCTTCCCAGAGTGCTCCCAGCCACGGCACTGAGCCCTCCCTTCCTCTCCCCCAGATGTCAGTGGCCCCATGCCCGACTCCTACAGCCCTCGGTATGTGGAGGCTGCCTGGTACCCTTGGTGGGAGCAGCAGGGCTTCTTCAAGCCAGAGTATGGGGTGAGTAGGCACTGCTGCCCAGGCCCAGAGTGGGTGGGGTGGGGAAGGGCAGGACTGAAGGATGTGTTGCCTGGGAGGGGCTGGGAGAGGTGACCTGAGGCCTTAAACATGTGCCATCCTTCTCCACCATCAGCGTCCTAATGTGTCAGCAGCAAATCCCCGAGGTGTCTTCATGATGTGCATCCCACCCCCCAATGTGACAGGCTCCCTGCACCTGGGCCATGCACTCACCAACGCCATCCAGGACTCCCTGACTCGATGGTGAGCTTCTATCTGCACCTTCCTCTGGTTCCCTCTGCCTAGTCTGGCTCTCTCCTTTTCCCTGACAGCCCCCCGAGCCTCTCTCCTTCTGGGTTGGTGCTCACTTCTGCCCCCAGTGGTGCTACACTTCTCTCTGTCATTCCAATCTGATCATTTAGCTTCCTCTCCTAGTCCAGTACTCCCATGCAACACCGCCACTTGCAGACTCTCTTCTATCCCTTCTTTCTTTATTTAATTTTAATTTAATTTAATTTAATTTTTTGTAAAGATGAGTTTTCACTTTGTTGCTCAGTCTGGTCTCCAACTCCTGGCTCAAGTGATTCTCCTGTCTCAGACTCCCAGAGTGCTGGGATTATAGGTGTGAGGCACCACACCCAGTCTCTCCCTTCTTTTTCTAGTAACAATAACATTATTTTGAATTTAATTAGGAACATATGAATATATATATTTTTTTTTGGGGGGACAGAGTCTTGTTCTGTTGCCCAGGCCGGAGTGCAGTGACGCCATCTCGGCTCATGGCAACCGCTGCCTCCTGGGTTCAAGTGATTCTCCTGCCTCAGCCTCCCAAGTAGCTGGGATTACAGGAATGCGCCACCACAACTGACCAAAATATATGAATATATTCTTGTAAGAAATTTAAAGTTTCAAATCTCCTTGACCATCCCCCTCCACACCTACTTCCTCCTAAGATTTAGCCATTGTTATCACTTTGATGTGTATCTTCCCAGATCTTTCCTATTTACTTACATATACACGTACCCATAGAAATTTATAGTTCTCCTTTTGGGTGAGTCTTTTCTATTTTTTAACATAAAGGGTTCATATTACACTTGTTATGATCTAGCTTTCTTCTTACACTTAATACTTTCTCTTGGAGATCTTTCCTTGTCCTTACACACATACCACACATACTGACTTCCTTCTTTTTAATTGTTCCATAATATCTCATAGTGTGGCTGTACCATAGTGAAGTCATTCTTTTTTTTTTTTTTTTTTTTTTTTTTTTGAGACAGAGTTTCACTCTTTTTGCTCAGGCTGGAGTACAGTGGCATGATCTCGGCTCACCGCAACCTCCACCTCCTAGGTTCAAGCGATTCTCTTGCCTCAGCCTCCCAAGTAGCTGGCATTACAGGCACCTGCCACCGCGCCTGGCTAATTTTTGTATTTTTAGTAGAGATGGGGTTTCACCATGTTGGCCAGGCTGGTCTCAAACTCCTGACCTCAGGTGATCTGCCTGCCTCGGCCTCCCAAAGTGCTGGGATTACAGGCGTGAGCCACTGCTCCCGGCCTGGAGTCACTTTTTAATTAATGATTCATTCTGTTTTTTGTTTTTTGTTTTTTTTCTGTTGAAAACCTTACTCTAATGCACATCCCTGTATATCAAGTTTGTCCAACCTGCAGCCTGTGGGCCACATGCGGCCCAGGACGGCTTTGAATGCAGCCTAACACAAATTTGTAAACTTTGTTTAAACATTTAAGAATTTTTTTGCGATTTTTTTTTTTTAGCTCATCAGCTATCGTTAGTGTTAGTGTATTTTTTTAAATTTATTTTTATTATTTATTTATTTATTTATTTTTTGAGACGGGTCTTGCACTGTCACCCAGGCTGGAGTGCAGTGGCACAGTCTCGGCTCACTGCAAGCTCCAAACTCCGCCTCCCACGTTAACGCCATTCTCCTGCCTCAGCCTCCCAAGTAGCTAGGACTACAGGTGCCCACCACCACGCCCGGCTAATTTTTTTTTTGTATTTTTAGTAGAGACGGGGTTTCACCATGTTAGCCAGGATGGTCTCGATCTCCTGACCTCGTGATCCGCCCGCCTCGGACTCCCAAAGTGCTGGGATTACAGGCGTGAGCCACTGCTCCCAGCCAGTGTTAGTGTATTTTATCTGTGGCCCAAGACAATTCTTCCATGTGGCCCAGGGAAGCCAAAAGATTGGATACCCCTGCTCTATATGCTTGCTGAAGCATGTGTGGAAGGGTTTCGCTGGTGTAGCTATCAAGAAGTGAAACTGCTAGGTCGGCAGGGGCACACCTATATTAAGTACAAACGGAAGCTGCCAAGTTGCCCTGCAGAATGGCTTTGCTGATTGATACCTCCAGGAATTGCTGTGAGAGTGTTCATTTCCCCACCCTTGCTAAGCCTGAGCATTAGGGTTGCCTAATTAGTTTTGCCAATCTGATGGGCAAAAAAATACCTCTGTTGTTTTACTTTGTACCTTTCTGATTGCTATTGAAGTTGTGCCTATTTTCATGTTTTTTGGCCAGTCAGGTTTACCCATATGTGAATTGTCTGTATCTATCTTTTCCCCGTTTTTCTATTGATTCTTCGTTCTTTTTCTTTTTAATTTTTTTTTTGAGAATTCTTTACCTGTTCTGGGTATCAATTTTTTTGTTAAATATTGTAAATGTTTTTGTTGTATTATTGTGTGGTAGTTTTCCTGTTAATTGTAAATGTTTCTCCTGTTTTCTGTTACTATTTGTTTTCACTGTTAATATTTTAATTAGTGATAAATACAAAGTAATATTCTAGGTGACAAATCTTTTTAAAAAGTATTTTAAAATAACTTTACCATTTTTGGAAACCAGGGTTTATTATATTTAAATTTTGAGAATTTTTTCTGGTGTCTTATGTACTAAATTAATGTGGTCAAAAAATATTTACTGGGCCCAACTATGTGCCACCTCTGCTCTGAGCACTGGGAATATAATGTTTGATTGTGCATTTTGCAAGTAACTGAGAGCTAGGAAAACAGTTATATGTTTTATTTTTTTATTTTTATTATTATTATTATTATTTTGAGACAGAGTCTCTCTCTGTCGCCCAGGCTGGAGTGCGGTGGCGCAATCTTGGCTCACTGCAAGCTCTGCTTCCCAGGTTCACAGCATACTCCTGCCTCAGCCTCCTGAGTAGCTGGGACTACAGGCGCCCGCCACCACGCCTGGCTAATTTTTTGTATTTTTTTTAGTAGAGACAGGGTTTCACCCTGTCGGCCAGGATGGTCTCGATCTCTTGACCTCATGATCTGCTCACCTCGGCCTCCCAAAGTGCTGGGATTACAGGCGTGACCCACCGCGCCTGGCCTGTTTTTTTTTTTGTTTTTTTTGTTTTTTTGAGACAGAGTCTCTCTCGGTTTCCCAGGCTGGAGTGCAGTGATGCGCGCTTACTGCAACCTCTGCCTCCTGAGCTCAAGCGATTCTCCTGCCTCAGCCTTCTGAGTAGCTGGGATTACAGGCGCATGCCACCACACCTGGCTAATTTTTGTATTTTTAGTAGAGACGGGGTTTCACCATGTTGGTCAGGCTTGTTTCGAGCTCCTGACCTTGTGATCCTCCCGCTTCGGTCTCCCAAAGTGCTAGGATGACAGGCATGAGCCACTTCGTCCAGCCAACAGTTCTGTTAAATACACATAACATACAATGGCCAAGTTGTTTGCGTTTGTGTTTGCGTTTTTGTTTTTTCAATTTTTCAATTTTTTTTTTTTCTTTGGAAATGGGGTCTTGCTCTGTCACCCAGGCTGGAGTGCAGTGGCGCAGTCTCTGCTCACTGCAAGCTCCTCCTCCCAGGTTCACACCATTCTCCTGCCTCAGCCTCCTGAGTAGCTGGGACTATAGGAGCCCACCACCACGCCTGGCTAATTTTTTTTGTATTTTTAGTAGAGACGGGGTTTCACCGTGTTAGCCAAGATGGTCTCGATCTCCTGACCTCGTGATTCGCGTACCTCGGCGTCCCAAAGTGCTGGGATTATAGGCGTGAGCCACCACGCCCGGCCCTGTTTTTCAATTTTTTAATAAAATCAAGAGAGGGTCTCGCTATGTTGCCCAGGCTGGTCTTGAACTTCTGGGCTCAAGCAATCCTCCTGCCTCAGTCTCCCAAAGTGCTGGGACTACAGGCATGAACCACCATACCTGGCCTCCAAGTTTGTTTACATGAAAACAGAATGACTACTTTTTTTTTTTTAATTGAGACAGAGTCTCGCTCTGTCGCCCAGGCTGGAGTGCAGTGACGCGATCTCGTCTCACTGCAACCTCAACCACTTGGGTTCAAGCGATTCTTGTGTCTCAGTCTCCTGAGTAGCTGGGACTACAGGCACGCACCACCACGCCCAGCTAATTCTTTTGCATTTTTAGTAGACAGAGTTTTGCCATGTTGGCCAAGCTGGTCTTGAACTCCTAACCTGAAGTAAGCCGCCTGCCTCGGCCTCCCAAAGTGCTGGGATTACAGGTGTGAGCCACTGTGCCTGGCCACATACTTCTTATAAAACTCTTAAGGTAGCCACATTTTTTTTCCAGTGAACGTGGTTTAAATAAAATGTGAGACACTCCCATTACTTTAATGGAATAGAGTTATATCAACTTTTTATTTTTATTTATTTGTTTATTTATTTATTTTTGAGACAGAGTCTCTCTCACTGTGTTGGCCAGATTGGAGTGCATCGGCATGATCACAGCACAATCATAGCTTGGTGCAGCCTCAACCTCAGCCACCCAAGTAGCTGGGAACAAAGGTGCACGCCACCATGCCTGGCTTTTTTTTTTTTTTTTTTGCAGAGACTAGGTCTCACTATGTTGCCCAGGCTAGTCTGCAACTCCTGGGCTCAAGCAGTCCTCTCACCTTGGCCTCCCAAAGTGTTGGGGTTATAGGCTTGAGCCACTGTGCCTGGCTTGAATTCTTTAATCTATCTAAAGTTTCTTTTTGTGACTATTGGTAAGGGGGAGATTTTTTCCAAATAATTAGCTAGTTGTTTCAAACATTTTGAATAGTTTATCCTTATTTTACTGATAGGAAGTGCCAACTTTCACAAACACTAAATTTGCTTGTATCTGTTTCCAGGTACTATTTTGTTCCTGTTTAGTAACTTATTTTAACAATTAGAACTTTTGCTATCCTGTTTGGCAGGAGCCTCCTCTTCGTTCTTTTTTTTTTTTTTTTTTTTTTTTTTTGAGACAGAGTCTCACTCTGTCATCCGGGCTGGAGTGCAGTGGCACAATTTCAACTCACTGCAACCTCCCCCTCCCAGCTTCAAGCGATTCTCGTGCTTCAGCCTCCCAAGTAGCTGGGATTACAGGTATGCACCACCATCCTGGCTAATTTTTATATTTTTGGTAGAGACAGGGTCTTGCCATGTTGGTCAGGCTGGTCTCGAACTCCTGTCCTCAAGTGATCCACTCGCCTTGGCCTCCCAAAGTCCTGGGGTTACAGGTGTGAGCCACCACGCATGCCTGTCTTTGTTCTTTTTCCATATTGCCTTGGCTCTTCCTTCAAATCTTTTCTCCTTGACTAGCTTTAGAATCACAAGGGTTCCAGCTCCACCCCTGCTTCTTTCTTTTTTTTTTTGTTTGTTTTTTGGAGACGGAGTCTCACTCTGTCACCCAGGCTGGAGTGCAATGGCATGATCCCAGCTTGCTGCAACCTCTGCTTCCCGGGTTCAAGCAATTCTCCTGCCTCAGCCTTCCAAGTAGCTGGGATTACAGGCACATGCCACCACGCCCAGCTAATTTTGTATTTTTAATACAGACAGGGTTTTACCATATTGGCCAGGCTTATCTTGAAGTCCCCACCTCAGGTGATCCACCCACCTCGGCTTCCCAAAGTGCTGGGATTACAGGCGCATGCCACCATGCCCAGCTAATTTTGTATTTTTAGTAGAGACGGGGTTTTACCATGTTGGCCAGGCTCATCTCGAACTCCCCCACCTGAGGTGATCCACCCACCTCAGCCTCCCAAAGTTCTGGGATTACAGGCGTGAGCCACCGCGTCCGGCCTCCCTGCTTCTTTATTTAGTCCACTGACTCCTTGCCTGAAGCCTCTGCTTTCTTTGGTGCCAGGCCCCACTGGCCTGGCTCACCCTCTGGTCCTCCATGCCCCCTAACAGGCACCGCATGCGTGGGGAGACCACCCTGTGGAACCCTGGCTGTGACCATGCAGGTATTGCCACCCAGGTGGTGGTGGAGAAGAAGCTATGGCGTGAGCAGGGACTGAGCCGGCACCAGCTGGGCCGCGAGGCCTTTCTACAGGAAGTCTGGAAGTGGAAGGAGGAGTGAGTATGCAGCATCCCTGTGGGCATCGCAGCCCTGCCTCCCTGTCCCCTATCCAGAAGACCTCTGTCACCTGTAACCCCTTGGCCACAGGGTCAGACCCTCCCACAGAGGCAGAGTCAGTTGGCTCTAGGGCCCAGGTAAATTTCAGGGGGATGGGTGATCTCCACACTGCCCAGTCAGCCACCTGATGTCTCCCTCTAGCCCAGGCACGAGTGCTGACCTCAGCCTGTCTGCTTCCAGGAAAGGTGACCGGATTTACCACCAGTTGAAGAAGCTTGGCAGCTCCTTGGACTGGGATCGAGCCTGTTTCACCATGGACCCTGTGCGTGGGAGGAGTGTCAAAGCTGGGGCAGGAGTAGGAGTCTCCCCAGGGTGGGACCCCCACAGGAGAAAGCAGAGGTGTTGTGGCCCTCTCTCAGGAGCTGGCCCATGTAAAACACCATGGAGGGCTCAGCTGCAAATGCCACTTCCCACCCCTCGCCATGGCCCTTTCCATATCATGGCCCTTCATGTTCCCTGTCTTGGCTCTGGGAGCTCCAGATTCCTCCAGATGGCACATGATCAGGACCCCGTCTCCCATGGAGCCTGAACTCCCAGTGTCCTCTGCACCAGTACTTGTCCCCAGCTGATTGTCTTCCTCGCCATCTGCAGCATTACAAGGCTTGTTGCCTGCTCTTGTGTTCCCTTAGTCCTCTCTCCCCCTCAAGGAAAGAAGGAAAGTACTCCCCTCAGAGGGGTCTTTGTGCTGGCCAGTGGGACTCTGTATGGGCAAGGCCTCACTGGAGCCCTGGGTGTCTGCCTGGGCCTCCAGGCACAAGGCCCATCTCTCTGACTTCTCCCTCCTCCACCCCAGAAACTCTCAGCAGCTGTGACAGAGGCCTTTGTCCGGCTTCACGAGGAAGGCATCATCTATCGCAGTACCCGCCTTGTTAACTGGTCCTGCACCCTCAACTCCGCCATCTCTGACATTGAGGTGCGCCCCCCAACCTGGCCTGTCTCCATCTCCAATCTACCCTGGCCCTGGCCCTGGCCCCTGGGCCACGCCTCTAAATACCCATTTTACAGGTGGATAAGAAGGAGCTGACAGGTCGCACCCTGCTCTCCGTGCCTGGCTACAAGGAGAAGGTGGAGTTCGGGGTCCTCGTGTCCTTTGCCTATAAGGTCCAAGGCTCAGGTAGGAGCCAGGGGCACCAGGATCCTGGGCTGGGAGTGGCAGGAAGGGGCCAAGGCCAAGACCACAAGGCCTTCTGTCACCCCAGATAGCGACGAGGAGGTGGTGGTGGCAACAACTCGGATCGAGACAATGCTGGGAGATGTGGCTGTAGCTGTGCACCCCAAAGATACCAGATACCAGGTGGGGGACTGTCCACAGTTAGGGAAGGAGTTCTGGCCAAAAAGGGCTCCCATCCTTATGGGGTGGAGGGGTTGGACTTAGGCCCCTGGCTGAGGAGAGGAAACTGGGTTAGAAACTGGTCTTCAGCTTCTTTCCCAGCTCTGAGGGTAGAGCTATTGGGGACTGTTTGGGGGAGTTCAAGTGTTGGGATAGTCAGGGCCCTGGAAAGGAAGGACTTGGGCCCAGCCCTTCGTGCATTTTTAAAAAGTTAAATAGCCAGGCACGGTGGCTCATGCCTGTAATCCCAGCGCTTTGGGAGGCTGAGGCAGGTGAATCATAAGGTCACGAGTTCGAGACTAGCCTGGCCAACATAGTGAAACCCCATCTCTACTAAAAATACAAAAAATTAGCCAGTTGTAGTGGCGGGTGCCTGTAATCTCAGCTACTCAGGAGGCTGAGGCAGGAGAATCGCTTGAACCTGGGATGCGGAGGTTGCAGTGAGCTGAGATCACTCTGCTGCACTCCAGCCTTGGTGACAGAGCGAGACTCCGTCTCAAAAAAAAAAAAAAAAGTTAAATAGAGACAAGGTCTCACTCTGTTAACCATGCTGATCTTGAACTCCTGGCCTCAAGGAAGCCTCCTGCCCCAGCCTCCCAAAGTGTGGGGGTTAGAGATGTGAGCCATGGCACCAGGCCCCTTCATGCTTTTATTTATTTATTTATTTTTGAGAGAGGGTCTCACTCTATCGCCCAGGCTAGAGTGCAGTGGCACCATCTTGGCTCACTGCAACCTCCACCTCCCGGGTTCAAGCAGTACTTGTGCCTCAGCCTCTTGAGTAGCTGAGATTACAGGCACGCGTCACCACACCTGGCTAATTTTTTTTTTGTATTTTTAGTAGAGACTAGGTTTCCCCATGTTGGCCAGGCTGGTCTCCAACTCCCGGCCTCAAGTGATCTGCCCACCTCAGCCTCCCAAAGTTCTGGGATTACAGGTGGGAATCACGGCGTCTGGCCCTGCTTCATGCGTTTTTGGTATCTTTCCGCCCCCAGCACCTGAAGGGGAAGAACGTGATCCACCCATTCCTGTCTCGGAGCCTTCCCATTGTCTTCGATGAATTTGTGGACATGGACTTTGGCACAGGTGGGCAAGGGGCTGGTCCTGTGGGGAGAGGAAAAGACTGGAGCTGCACCCTAGCTGTCCATCTTCTCTCAGAGAAAAAGAAAATAAGCTTCAGCCAAATAGACAGAGCTTGGGGTGGTTCTCAAGGGACTGTATTAGACAAGTGGGGGCCAGGAGTGGTCTCGGAGCTACATCCTTCAGCAAAAGAGGTGAGTGTAGGAAGGAACTCCGTGGAGTCCCTCATGACCTGGGCATCCTGATGTACACCCAGGTGCTGTGAAGATCACCCCCGCACATGACCAAAATGACTATGAAGTTGGGCAGCGGCACGGGCTGGAGGCCATCAGCATCATGGACTCCCGGGGGGCCCTCATCAATGTGCCTCCGCCTTTCCTGGTGAGGCTGCCTGAGGCAAGAGTGCCCGGGTCAGGGAGATGGAGGGATGGCTGGGCATCGCCATGATGAGGCCTCATTCCTACCCAGGGCCTGCCCAGGTTTGAGGCCAGGAAAGCGGTGCTGGTGGCGCTGAAGGAGCGGGGACTGTTCCGTGGCATTGAGGACAACCCCATGGTGGTGCCACTTTGCAAGTGAGGGTGGGGGCCTGGGACGGGAGGAAGATGGAGGGCTCCTCAGGGTTTTACCGCCTGGCCTTCTCACCTACGTGTACCCCCAGCCGGTCGAAGGACGTGGTAGAGCCTCTGCTGCGGCCGCAGTGGTACGTTCGCTGCGGGGAGATGGCCCAGGCTGCCAGCGCCGCTGTGACTCGGGGTGACCTCCGCATCCTGCCTGAGGCCCATCAGCGCACATGGCATGCCTGGATGGACAACATCCGGTGTGTAGGGTCCTCAGTGTGGGAGGGGCTTGCCGAGGGCTGAGCAGGGCTCACTCGGGCCAGGCTCCATCAGGCCCTCCCTGATTTCTCCTCCCCGACATTTGCAGGGAGTGGTGCATTTCCAGGCAGCTGTGGTGGGGCCATCGCATCCCAGCCTACTTTGTCACTGTCAGTGACCCAGCGGTGCCCCCTGGGGAGGTGAGCAGAGGGCCAGAGCTAGCTGCTGGGACACCCTGCTGGAGTGGTGGGTTTACTGGGTCCTTGGTGGGGGGAGGGGCAGGGTGAGCCAGAAGCAGACACACCCCCTTGGGTAATCACTGCACCTGTGGCAGGACCCTGATGGGCGGTACTGGGTGAGTGGACGCAATGAGGCGGAGGCCCGGGAGAAGGCAGCCAAGGAGTTCGGAGTGTCCCCTGACAAGATCAGTCTCCAGCAAGGCAAGGCGGGGCTTTGAGGGTCTGGAGGGAGTTGTGGGGGGCAGAGCTCCACTCCCTCTGACCTCTGACCTTTGGCCTCTCTCAGATGAGGATGTATTGGATACCTGGTTCTCCTCTGGCCTCTTCCCCTTATCCATTTTGGGCTGGCCCAACCAGGTGTGTTCCTGGGGCCGGGGCTTGGCGGGACAGGGGACTGGAGGGTGGGTGTTGGCTCCCCTTCACACCCTGGTCTGCCCTCAGTCAGAAGACCTGAGTGTGTTCTACCCCGGGACACTGCTGGAGACCGGTCATGACATCCTCTTCTTCTGGGTGGCCCGGATGGTCATGCTGGGCCTGAAGCTCACGGGCAGGCTGCCCTTTAGAGAGGTGCGGAGACAGCCGAGACCCTCCCATCGCCCCCAGCCTCCTCTCCTACCGTCCTGTGCTGCAGCGCAGACCCCGCGTGGCTGGGGCATGGGGTTAGCTGTGGGCAGGCCTGACCCGGGGGCTGGTGTGGGGTTGAAATCCAGCCTGGGCCCTGCTCAGTGATTCCTGTGCCCAGGGCTTCATCTTCCCAGAGGAAGGAGTGCTTCTGATTCACATAAAGGCGCTCAACGAGCTCTTGGGGACACTCAGTGGGACCTGAGGTTCACAGTGGGGTAGACCAGACACAGTCCTGGTCGGGGCACTGAGGCCGGGGAAGGAGAGGACTGAGTCTCATGGGCCTCCCCACCTGCTCTGCAGGTCTACCTCCATGCCATCGTGCGAGATGCTCACGGCCGGAAGATGAGCAAGTCTCTAGGCAATGTCATCGATCCCCTGGACGTCATCTATGGAATCTCCCTGCAGGTGGGCTGGGTGCTGGGCCAGCCAGGAAGGGCCGTGGGGCTGTGGTCACAGCCACCTGACTGCTCCCACTCCACCCTCAGGGCCTCCACAACCAGCTGCTGAACAGCAACCTGGATCCCAGCGAGGTGGAGAAGGCCAAAGAAGGGCAGGTATGGAGGGTTGGGCTGGGCTAAGCAGGAGCACAGCGTGGATGGGGCTGGCTGAGGACGCTCCTCCCCCTGCCTCTTCCCTGTAGAAAGCTGACTTCCCAGCGGGGATTCCTGAATGTGGCACCGATGCTCTCCGGTTTGGATTATGTGCCTACATGTCCCAGGGTATGGCCCCCAAAGCGTCCCTCCCAGCCACTCCTTCCTCCTTCTGTGAGGCCCATCCCTCTTCTCCACCCTGAGCCTCTGGTGGGCATGGGCTGGGAAGAGGGTGATGAGGACTCACATCTCACCCCCGACCCAGGTCGTGACATCAACCTGGATGTGAACCGGATACTGGGTTACCGCCACTTCTGCAACAAGCTCTGGAATGCCACCAAGTTTGCCCTTCGTGGCCTTGGGAAGGGTTTTGTGCCCTCACCCACCTCCCAGGTAAGGGCCTGGTGGGCAGCAAAGCTGGCAGCACTCACACAGGCTGTACCCCTGTCCGGAGCAGCCTCCATGTAGCTGGGGGGACAGATAGACACAGAGACAGACAGTTAAAGGGAAAGCCCAGCGCATTGGGGGCTGGGGCCTGTCACTTCTTCCCAGATCCTGGCACATAGGTGGTTGCTTTGGACTCATCAGACTCTGGATGAAGATTTGCCCATGACTCCTGCCCCCATGGGGTTCTGGCACCCTCCCCTGGCCCGCCGGCTGATACACCCTCTCTCCCCAAGCCCGGAGGCCATGAGAGCCTGGTGGACCGCTGGATCCGCAGCCGCCTGACAGAGGCTGTGAGGCTCAGCAATCAAGGCTTCCAGGCCTACGACTTCCCGGCCGTCACCACTGCCCAGTACAGCTTCTGGCTCTATGAGCTCTGTGATGTCTACTTGGTGAGAAGGAGCACAGCGGGGCAGGGGATGGTGGGGGCAGGTGGGCAGCAGAGCCCTGGGCTCAGTTTTGCCAGAGTTGGCCTTGAGACCTAAGCCAACCCATCCCCTTCCCAGTCCTCACAGGCACAGCGAGGGCTCAAGGCTAGACCTCCAGCCGTGAGCCCTGTACCTCTCGTCCCCTAGGAGTGCCTGAAACCTGTACTGAATGGGGTGGACCAGGTGGCAGCTGAGTGTGCCCGCCAGACCCTGTACACTTGCCTGGACGTTGGCCTGCGGCTGCTCTCACCCTTCATGCCCTTCGTGACGGAGGAGCTGTTCCAGAGGCTGCCCCGGAGGATGCCGCAAGCTCCCCCTAGCCTCTGTGTTACCCCCTACCCGGAGCCCTCAGAGGTATGGCATGGCCTGGAGAGGGGAGTCTGACCTGCCCTCCAGGCCCCCTCACCCCCTCCTCCACCCCACAGTGCTCCTGGAAGGACCCCGAGGCAGAAGCCGCCCTTGAGCTGGCGCTAAGCATCACGCGAGCCGTGCGCTCCCTGCGGGCCGACTACAACCTCACCCGGATCCGGCCTGACTGTGAGCCTCAGGCCCCCATGTCCGCCCCATCCCACTGTCCCCTCAGCCTACTCTGGGACCCAGTGTCCGGCAGTGACTGCTTGGTTTCCTGTCTCCATGGAGCTAGGCCTCACCTTTCTCCCTCCCTGGCAGGTTTCCTGGAAGTGGCGGATGAGGCCACGGGCGCCCTGGCATCGGCGGTGTCGGGCTACGTGCAGGCCCTGGCCAGCGCAGGTGTGGTGGCTGTTCTGGCCCTGGGGGCTCCCGCCCCCCAGGGTTGCGCTGTGGCTCTGGCTTCTGATCGCTGCTCCATCCACCTGCAGCTTCAGGGGCTGGTGGACCCTGCACGGGAGCTGGGCAAGCTGCAAGCCAAGCGAGTTGAGGCCCAGCGGCAGGCCCAGCGTCTGCGGGAACGCCGTGCTGCCTCGGGCTATCCTGTCAAGGTGCCGCTCGAAGTCCAGGAGGCAGATGAAGCCAAGGTGTGTGGCCTGGGTGGGCATTTCCCACACCATCCCCTTCCTCCATCAAAACCCTGGTCTGGGCTGGTCCGAGTGCAGTGGTGTTGACAACTAATTGATCGTAACCAGTTACAGATTTCTTTGTTCCTTCTCCACTCCCACTAGCCTTAAAAAACAAAACAGCCTGGCTCAGTGGCTCACACCTGTAATCCCAGAAATTTGGGAGGCCAAGGTGGGTGGATCACTTGAGCCCAGGGGTTTGAGACCAGCCAACATGGTGAAATCCCATCTCTACAACAAAAATACAAAAATTAGCTGGCCATAGTGGCACACACTTGGGGTCCCAGCTACTCGGGGGGCTGAGGTGGGCGGATTGCTTGAGCCTGGGAGGTCAAGACTGCAGTGAGCCGAGATCATGCCACTGCACTTGAGCCTGGGCAACAGAGAGAAGACCCTGTCTGGAAAAAAAACAAAACAAAACAAAAACCAATCCTGGTCTGGAAGCTGGACTCTGTACCCAACCCTGGGGAATCCACTGGGGAGCATGGAGCCCAGGCGCTTTGAGCAGGGACCATAGAAGGCCCTCCCCTTACACATGGGGAGCAGCTGGGGGCTGGGCACAACCCAGGGTCACACAACAGGTGGGAGACGGAGGCTGACCTAGAACCAGGCATCCTATCTCCCAGCCAGACCCTTCGTACCCCACCCAGCTGCCCAAAATGTGGAAACCTGCATGCCTGGGGCTGGGCTTGGGGTCCACATGTAGTCGGGGAGCCCTGGGCCTCCCACCACTTACTTTCAAGCCTACTGGGCTGACCCTGGAAGGCCAGTCTTGTTTGTCCCCTGCCTCCTGGGTTCCGCCAGAGAGAAGCAGTGGAGTAAACTGCACAGACACAGAGAAAACCAGTCATGGAGGCCAAGAGCTAGAGAGCCTTGAGTGGACGTGGTTAATCTCACTTGGTTCTCCCAAGAGCCCTGGGAGGGGGGCAATATCATCATCATCATCTGACAAATGAAGTGACCGGCCTGGGAGACTGTGCTCTCCTGCTTAGGTGGGGACACTGAATGGGGAACACGTAGGCTCTGAGGTTCCTTTGTTCTTGGGGACTCACCACTTGGTGGAAAAAGGCAAGACCCAAGAGGTGGTGGTGGAAGTGGGGGTGCTGGTGGGAATGGGTGGGGAGCCAGGCCAGCCAGGTTCACGCCTCCTCTGAGCTACTGACCTCCCATGGTCCTCGCTCATCTTTCCAACTTTGTTGTCCTGGGTGTTTGGGGGTCTCTTCACTTGGACCTGGGTCCTCACCCACCCCCTGGTTCCACTCCAGCTCCAACAGACAGAAGCAGAGCTCAGGAAGGTGGATGAGGCCATCGCCCTATTCCAGAAGATGCTGTGATCCACCACCCAGCTTCACCCCTCACCCCCAGCGGCTCACCATGGGGATGGCAGCAATAAAATATTTTCCCACAAAATCCTCTTGTCATCTGTGGTGGGGGCAGAGAGGGGAGCAGAGGGGCTGGGTGCCTGAATCCTTGGGGGCTGCAGGGTGGGAGTGAGGCCCTGGTTCTGGAGGGCAGAGGGGTGCGTCTATCTGGGTCTGTCCCTGGCACTGTGCCAGGCCTGAGTCACGCTGCTTACTCCCTTCCTCCTCCCCAGCTCTCACTCACCTCCGCACTGCAGCCAAGGGAGGCCCGCCCTGGCGTGGGCTGCTGCCTGTGGCTTTGGGCAGGCAGGAGCGAAAGGGCCAGGGGTTGCCTGTCCTCCCCCACCCTGTTGAGGCCTTCCTCCCCCTCTGCTGAGCCTCGGTTAATTATAACTCTGACCTAAGTGCCCTGTGACGTCAAGCCCGGGCCAGCCCTGCCCAGGAGACCCAGCAACCAGGTAGGGGAGGGCCTGAGAGGACTCAGGCTTCCTGAGCATGGGGAGTGTTTCTGCGGCAGGGCTGGGGACGCAGCCAGGGACTGGGGAGGGGGGCGTGGGGGAGGAACCTTGGACCCCTCTCCTGGCAGGTGTGTATGTCCCTAATGGTCCGATGAGGCCCTCAGGTTGTCTGGGTGACAGCGAGAGGGTGGGGAAGCCAGGCTGGAGCAGACACGACTTTTGAGGTAAAGCAGGTTCCCATGGAGACCCGCAGAGCCGGCCTGCCCTGGAATCGCGGCTGCTTCCTCCTCCCTTGAGAGCCTTCTGTCTCCCAGGTCCATGTCTCAGCCATGCTCCCCACGGAGGTCCCCCAATCCCACCCGGGCCCCTCAGCGTTGCTTCTGCTGCAGCTGTTGCTGCCCCCCACATCTGCCTTCTTCCCCAACATCTGGAGCCTGCTGGCTGCCCCTGGCTCCATCACCCACCAAGACCTAACTGAGGAGGCAGCGCTCAACGTCACCCTGCAGCTCTTCCTGGAGCAGCCACCCCCAGGCCGCCCCCCTCTTCGTCTTGAGGACTTCCTGGTGAGCATCCCAGGGTCCTGTCACACCCCTGCCAGAGTCCCCAATTCCATGGGGCCTCTACTCCTTGAGGGCTCTGGTTGCCAAGAGAAGAGACACCCATGGCCCCACCCCTGCAGCAATAATACCCAGTAGTCTTGGTCCTGAAATTAGGAGTCCCCCTCCTTAGAAAGGTCCGGGACTGTCCCTCCTTTGTGGGGCTCAGGACCCTCATACCCAGCCTTGAGTGTCAGTTGCTGAGATAAGGTGGGCAACAGTCAATCCAAAGGGCCTCCCTGGAGCCCCGTCGCCCGCTATTCTCCCCAGGGTCGAACACTCCTTGCTGATGACCTCTTTGCCGCCTACTTTGGACCTGGTTCTTCTCGGCGGTTCCGAGCAGCCTTAGGTGAGGTGTCTCGTGCCAATGCAGCCCAGGACTTCCTGCCAACTTCCAGGAATGACCCCGACCTGCACTTTGATGCTGAGCGACTGGGTCAGGGACGCGCGCGCCTGGTAGGGGCTCTGCGGGAGACCGTGGTGGCAGCCAGGGCCCTTGACCACACCCTGGCTCGCCAGCGCCTCGGGGCTGCACTTCATGCCCTGCAGGTGAGAACAGGGTTGGGTTGATGGTCAGAGGGGTCTTCACTTCCGTGCCTGTCCGGGATGGAGCGCGTCCTATGGTGCCTTCTTGATCATGTCTCCTCCACTCTGGAAGGGGTGGGCACTGGCACGCGGTGCCCCGAGGCTGTGTCCCAGTTCCCCACCTCCAAGCTGGCAGTGCTTCCTGTAGGAACAGCAAGGAGGGCGCTGTGGCTGGAGAGAAGTGAGGGTGAGAGAGGAAGGCTGCGAGGTCAGAGAGCTGAGGGAGCAGCACACGCAGCAGGACTCTGCAGGCCGAGAGAGGCCTTGGGTTAGACTCTGAGCTGGGAAGAGATGCTGGGACAGTTTCCACCTGGGCAAAGCTCTGCTCTGAGCAATGGAGAGAGGGCAGTGGAGGGGACTTGGGGTGTCTGGTGGGAGCAGTAGGGGTGGGAGGGGACTTTCGGGATGGGGAACTCAAAGGAGTGGCATATTAGTGCTGGAGATGGTGAGAAAGGCCAGACTAGTGCCTCACTCCCCTTCTCCTGTCCTCCGGACCAGGATTTCTACAGTCATAGCAACTGGGTGGAGCTGGGCGAGCAGCAGCCACACCCTCACCTCCTCTGGCCAAGGCAGGAGCTCCAGAACCTGGCACAAGGTATGGCTGTGACCCTGGTGGTGAGGCAGGAGTCCACAGGGCCACCTCAGTCCACCCAGCCACTGTGTCACATTCTGAAGTCCCAGAGGGTATGATGTTACTTAATCTCCACAAGGACTGAGGTCCCCCAGTCCAAGCAACGCCTGGCTCAGTTAAGCAGCTTCCCCAAGGTCACACAGGGAAAAGTAGCTAGGACCAGGTCTCCAGACCTCAGTCCCGTCTTAAGTGTGGCTTCCTCCCCGCACTGACTCCCATGGGGCCTTCTCTCACAGCCCCCTCACCCTCTCACCTGGAAGCTGCCTCCTGTCCACAACTCACAGAGGGCATAATCCCCATAGGATTGGTCCCTACACGTACTGTGTTTGTTTTTTTCTTATTATTTATTTATGTATTTATTTTTTAGAGATGAGGTCTCACTGTGTGGCGCAGGCTGCTCTGCCCGCCTTAGCCTCCTAAAGTGCTGGGATTACAGTCGTGAGCCACCGCACCCAGCCTGTGCTGTGTTTTCCAGCACAGCCCTAGTTTCAAACATTCAGGCTCACTGCGGGCCCATGATCCTAGGTTTTAGTTCAGAAAGCTTTGCTAGGGAACTTCTGGGTGTTCGCCTCATCCCAGCTGGGAGGAGAAGCTGAAAAGGTTTGGGTGGGTGGGGATAAAGGCTGGGGGTGGCAGAATCTTGGGTTCTAGCCCTGCCCTCTCTTCCCAGTGGCCGATCCTACCTGCTCCGATTGCGAGGAGTTGAGCTGCCCCAGGAATTGGCTGGGCTTCACACTCCTCACCTCTGGCTACTTTGGAACTCATCCCCCGAAACCTCCAGGTACCAGACAAGAAAGTTCCCCAGAAGTAAGGGGAGAAAGTCATTCCCTTACAGGATCTCTGTCCTGTAGGCCCGTATGCCTTTGCTATGGCATCTCCTCCTAGGAGGAGAGGATGCTGGGAACAGGGTGGGTGGAGGAAAGTCCCCTGAGGAGGCTGTGGTGGGGTTGAGGTAGGGGAGCAACTTCTTCCTCCGCTGATAGGATTTCTCCCTTGTCATAGGCAGTTTTGGGGGACTGGCTGGAGGGATCAGGGGATCCACCATGTGCTGTGGTGACTGACCACCACGCCCTAAGATTTACTCCAGAATTCCCCTCCACAAAGCACCATCCTTTTTATCCTTTTTTTTTTTTTTTTTTTTTGAGATGGAGTTTTGTTCTTTTTGCCCAGGCTGGAGTACAGTGGCACGATCTCGGCTCACTGCAACCTCCGCCTCCCAGGTTCAAGCGATTCTCCTGCCTCAGCCTCCCGAGTAGCTGGGATTACGGGCATGTGCCACCACGCCCGGCTAATTTTGTACTTTTAGTAGAGACAGGGTTTCATCATGTTGGCCAGGCTTGTCTCAAACTCCTGACTTCAGGTGATCCACCCACCTCAGCCTCCCAAAATGCTGGGATTACTGGTGTGAGCCACCATGCCCAGCCATCATTTATTTATTTATTTATTTTTTGAGACCGAGTCTTGCTCTGCCACCCAGGCTGGAGTGCAGTGGCGTGATCTCGGTTCACTGCAACCTCCGCCTCTTGGGATCAAGCTATTTTCCTTCCTCAGCCTCCTAAGTAGCTGGGATTACAAGCACGCGCCACCACACCTGGCTAATTTTTATAGTTTTAGTAGAAACAGAGCTTCACCATGTTGGCCAGGCTGGTCTTGAACTCCTGATCTCAGATGATCTGCCGGCCTCGGCCTCCCAAAGCGCTGGGATTCCAGGCGTGAGCCACCGCGCCAACCCCGTCATCATTTCTTGCTGAACCCTTGCTGAGGGGTGAGAGGGTCAGGCCAGGCCTGAAAGGGCCTCATTTTCTTAGGAGGCAGTGGGTTTTTGACCTCCACTCTCCAGATCCCTTTCCCCAACCCAGGGAAATGTAGCCACGGGGGCCATTTTGACCGGAGCAGCTCCCAGCCACCGAGGGGAGGCATCAACAAGGACAGCACATCCCCAGGCTTCTCCCCTCACCACATGCTGCACCTCCAGGCTGCAAAACTGGCCCTTCTAGCCTCCATCCAGGCCTTCAGCCTTCTGCGAAGCCGCCTGGGAGACAGGGATTTCTCCAGGTGAGTGGCCTCCTGGGGATGGACCCCTTCATGGGGAGGCGCTCCTGCGGGAAGGGAGAAACCAGGCGCTGGGGACAAACGTGCAGGCCCTTCACTGTGTCTCTGGCTTGCTCCCCAGGCTGCTGGACATCACCCCAGCCTCCAGCCTGAGCTTTGTCCTGGACACCACGGGCAGCATGGGTGAGGAGATCAACGCTGCCAAAATCCAGGCTCGCCACCTTGTGGAGCAGCGGAGAGGCAGCCCCATGGAGCCTGTCCACTATGTCCTGGTGCCTTTTCATGACCCAGGTAAGTGTGGTCTGGCTAGGACAGTAGAGGGGAGGAAAATTCAAGGTAAGGGATAGACTGGGCGTGGTGGCTCACGCCTGTAATCCCAGCACTTTGGGAGGCTGAGGCAGGTGGATCACCTGAGGTCGGGAGTTTGAGACCAGCCTGACTAATATGGAGAAACCCCGTCTCTACTAAAAATACAAAATTAGCCGGGCGTGGTGGTGGGCACCTATAATCCCAGCTACTCGGGAGGCTGAGGCAGGAGAATCGCTTGAACCCAGGAGGCAGAGGTTGCGGTGAGCCCCGAGATCGTGCCTTTGCACTCCAGCCTGGGCAACAAGAGCAAAAAGCTCTGTCACAAAAAAAAAAAAAAAAAAAAAAAAAAAGAAAAGAAAGAAAAAAAAAAGAAAAGATAAAAAGGTAAGGGATAAAGGCCTGTGGTGAGGAAGTGGGCTCGGGGTGGCACTTCCTGTAGTCCCGAGTGAGCCTCTACTGTGTGCATACAGAAAATTAGCAGCAACCTGGGTGGGGTGGCTCACACCTGTAATCCCAGCACTTTGGGAGGCAGAGGTGGGTGGATCGTTTGAGCCCAGGATTTCAAGACCAACCTGGGCAACACAGAGAAACACAGGTCTCTACAAAAAAATTAATAAAAATTATGTGTGGGTGTGGTGGCACATGCCTATAGTCCCAGCTACTTGGGAAGCTGAGGCAGGAGGATCACTTGAGCCCAGGAGACTGAGGTTGCAGTGAGCCGTGATGGCACTACTGCACTCCAGAGCGGCCTGGGTGACGCAGTGAGACCCTGTCTCTAAAAAAAAAAAAAAAGATAACTAGCAGACTTGCCTCCCACTCTTTCTAAAATGGCAGCACTTTCCATGAGTTTAATGCATGATTCATGCTTTGGCACGTGGCCTCTGCTTTCTTAGGCTTTCATGCTAATAAACCATTTTCTTTTTTTTTTTTTTTTTTTTTTTTTTGAGACGGAGTCTCGCTCTGTCGCCCAGGCTGGAGTGCCATGGCGCGATCTCGGCTCACTACAAGCTCCGTCTCCCGGGTTCACGCCATTCTCCTGTCTCAGCCTCCTGAGTAGCTGGGACTACAGGCGCCCGCCACCACGCCCGGCTAATTTTTGTATTTTTAGTAGAGACGGAGTTTCACCGTGTTAACCAGGATGGTCTCCATCTCCTGACCTCGTGATCCGCCCGCCTCGGCCTCCCAAAGTGCTGGGATTACAGGTGTGAGCCACCGTGCCCGGCCGCCATTTTCAATTCTCTCCATTTCCTATAGACAGAGATTGGTATCAAGATGGGGTTGTTGGGGCCAGGCTTCTGGGAAGCATCTGAGATAACTAGCTACATTGTATTCCTTTTCCATTGATTAGAAGTTAGACTCTCTGGCTTGAGTCTGACTGTGTGTCTTTAGGCTGGTCATGTAAACTTTCTTTGCCTCGATTTCATCATCTGTAAAATGGGTATCAGTTATCACATCAGGGTGGGGCAGGATGTTGGAATGTCATCAGTTAAGGCTATTTTCACTTCTTTTGTGGATCTTCAGTTGCTTCAGGCCATCTGGATGTATAAGTGCCAGTCACAGGGGATATGATTGGTTAGCTTGGGCTCAGAGGCCTGACACCTCCCTCATCCTGCCTAACTCCCAGAGTTGAAATGATGATCAAATAAAATGCCTACTGGACTGAGAGTTGCCTAAATTTGAGTCTTATTTGCCTGCATACATCCTACAGTGGCTGGCATTTAATAGACTTATTATGTTTGATGAAGATATAAATAAAGGTATAACTAAGAACTTAGCACTTATGTGTCAAAGCACTATCTTAAGATTTGCAAAATCAACTCATTTAGTCCTCCCAATAAACCTCTGAGGTAAGTGCTATTCGGTCTCTTTTCTTATGAGGAAACCCAGTTTTTTTTTTTCTTTTCTTTCTTTTTTTTTTTTTTTTGAGAGAGAGAGAGGGAGAGTCTCACTCTGTCACCCAGGTTGGAGTGCAATGGTACAATCATGCCTCACTGCAGCCTCGATTCAAGCAATCCTCCTGCCACAGCCTCCTGAGTAGCTGGGACTACAGATGAGCACCACCATATCTGGCTAATTTTTGTATTTTTTTGTAGAGATGGGGTCTCACTATGTTACCCAGGCTGATCTCGAGCTCCTGGGCTCAAGTGATCCTCCCACTTCAGCCTCTCAAAGTGCTGGGATAATAGGTGTGACCATTTTTTTTTTATATACGCACATGTAGCCAATAAAGGCCTACAGGAAATGCCACCATTTTTTTCAGGGAGTGGAGGCCACCTTCCCACCAGGGACACCTAGGTCTGCCCTGCCCTGCCCCGCCCTGCCCCGCCCTGCACTGACAAGTATGACTTTTTTTTTTTTTTTTTTGAGATGGAGTCTGTCGCCAGACTGGAGTGCAGCGGCACGATCTCGGCTCACTGCAACCTCTGCCTCCCGGGTTCAAGTGATTCTCCTGCCTCAGCCTCCCCAGTAGCTGGGGAGGCTACTGGGGAGCCTCTGGGGAGGCTACTGGGGAGGCTACGGGCATGCATCACCATGCCCAGCTAATTTTTATATTTTTTAGTAGAGACGAGGTTTCACCATGTTGGCCAGGATGGTTTTGATCTCTTGACCTCATGATCCACCCACCTTGGCCTCCCAAAATGCTGGGATTACAGGTGTGAGCCACCGCACCCGGCCAAGTATGAGTCTTATAATGGAGTATTGTTATTTCAATACCTGTCGGCTCCAGAAGCACACCAGGCCCCTCAACTGGGGAGGTGGCTCTGGGTAAGAATGAGGGGAGCTCTTTCCTCACTTATCTTAACCTCCTTTCCCCTTCCCAGGGTTCGGCCCTGTCTTTACAACCAGTGACCCTGACAGCTTCTGGCAACAGCTTAATGAGATCCATGCCTTGGGGGGTGGAGACGAGCCTGAGATGTGCCTGTCAGCCCTGCAGGTCTGGCCCCTCCCTTCTTCCCCGTTTCCTGGCCCCACCACCAGGGGGAGCTAGATCCCTCCTGGGGCTCCCCACCACCTTCAGCACCTAGATCCACTAGCTTCACTGTAGGGTTCCCGGGCCATATTCCCTTCTGCTTCATCCTCCGTGGCTCTACCCATTCCCCTCCTACTGCCATTGTTAACACTGGTCGTTGCCTTCCCTGCCAGCTGGCCCTGCTGCACACACCTCCACTCTCAGATATCTTTGTCTTCACGGATGCCTCCCCCAAGGATGCCTTTCTCACCAACCAGGTGGAATCCCTGACTCAGGAGCGGCGCTGCCGGGTGAGCAGAGCTAGTGGGAGACCCAGTGTTAGCCTCCCAGGGATGTGAGAGACCCTGTGATGACAATCTCATAACGAGGGTTGCACCACACTATGGTGGCCCAACAAGCCTTGGTATATGGTGGGAGAAGCAGACAATGAGTGGAACATTTCCTGATACCTTTAATGATATACGTAAGAGGCCCTACCCTTAATAACGCTGAATTTTTATTTGACCCTGCCTAATAAACAATGTGAAGAACTGGGGCTCTAGTCGCCAAAAATCCACTGTGACAGTTACAAGGGGGTGGCCAACTACTAACTGAAGGCAGGGGGTTCTGTCATTGGGATTCCCCACCCCAGCAGCCAGAAGGCAGGCAGAGACCTTATCACAAACCATCAGCTCTGGAGAAAGCTTGAGCACAGGGATTCTCATTCATAATAGTGGATGGCACTTGGACACCCCAATCACTGAGCTCTCTTCTGGGTACAGGTAACATTCCTGGTGACTGAAGATACATCAAGGGTTCAGGGTCGAGCTCGGCGTGAGATCTTGTCCCCTCTGCGTTTTGAGCCATACAAAGCAGTGGCCCTGGCCTCAGGAGGAGAGGTGATCTTCACCAAAGACCAGCACATTCGAGACGTGGCAGCCATTGTTGGGGAGAGCATGGCTGCCCTGGTAAGTGGGGGCCAGGGCCCTCACTTAGGAACTGAAGGGTGGTCAGGCTGCACCTCTCTTCTTATAGGAGAAAGGGGAATCACTCTCACTGCTGTGTTGTTCTTCCAGTCACGGGGCAGGAAAGGAAGTTTCTCTTCCTCTTAGATCCATGACTAGCCACTTCTTTTTTTTTTTTTGAGATGGAGTCTTATGGTCACCCAGGTTGGAGTGCAGTGGCACAATCTCGGCTCATTGCAACCTCCACCTCCCGGGTTCAAGGGATTCTCCTGCCTCAGCCTCCCAAGTCGCTAGAGTTACCAGTGCCCACCACCAGGCCTGGCTAATTTTTGTATTTTTTTAGTAGAGCCGGGGTTTCACCGTTTTTTTGGCCAGGCTGGTTTCGTACTCCTGACCGCAAGTGATCCGCCTACCTTGGCCTCCCACAGTGCTGGGATTACAGGCGCGAGCCACCACGCCTGGCCTGCATTGTCCTTTTATATCAGTAAACCTCTCCCCACTTGGCTTCCAGTATTCTGCCTCCAGGGTTACCACAGGAAGTCCTACCATCTTTTTGGGGAGGTGGCTTGTATTTTGCAGAGACAGAGTCTTGCTATATTGACTAAGCTGTTCTTGAACCCCTGGCCTCAAGTGATCCTCCTGCCTTGGTCTCCCAGGTGCTGGGATTACAGACATGAGCCACCACGCCTGGCCTATCATCTTTTAATGGGGCACAAGATGTGATTGTCTCATCCTGAATCCCTTGCCTCCAACTTTGTCTCTGACCATAATAACTTCATCCCTGGCCCCGTGCCCCTCTCTTACTGGTATCCCTTTCTGCCTGTTTGACGTGGTTTCTTTCTTTTTTCTTTTTCTTTCTTTTTTTTTTTTTTTTTTTTTTGAGACAGAGTCTTGCACTGTCGCCCAGGCTGGAGTGCAATGGTACAATCTTGGCTCACTGCAGCCTCTGCCTGTTGGGTTCAAGCGATTCTCCTGCTCCAGCCTCCCAAGTAGCTGGGATTACAGGAGCCCACCACCACACCTGGCTAATTTTTTGTATTTTTTTTTTTTTAGTAGAGATGTAGTTTCACTGTGTTGGCCAGGCTGGTCTCGAACTCTTGACCTTGTGATCCACCCGCCTCAGCCTCCCAAAGTGCTGGGATTACAGGCGTGACCAACTGCGCCCGGCCCAATGACGTGGTTTCTTTCTATCTCCCCTTTCTTCTTTGTTCCTCATCCCATACCTCATCTTCTTCCCCATTTTCTGGTCCTGCCAATCCCTCAAGGTGACTCTTCCCCTGGACCCTCCTGTTGTGGTGCCTGGGCAGCCACTTGTGTTCAGCGTGGATGGGCTGCTCCAGAAGATCACAGTCCGGATCCACGGAGACATCAGCAGCTTCTGGATCAAGAACCCTGCAGGTACCTCTGAAGGTAGAGGGAAGAGAGGGGACCGGGGAATAGACAATCGAGGGGATGTACTCAAGGAGAGCAAGTGCTTCATGTGACAATCTCTTCCCTGACCCCAGGGGTCTCCCAGGGCCAGGAGGAAGGCGGGGGTCCTCTAGGTCACACTCGCCGCTTTGGGCAGTTCTGGATGGTGACCATGGATGACCCTCCACAGACAGGAACCTGGGAGATCCAGGTCACAGCTGAGGACACCCCTGGGGTGAGAGTGCAAGGTAAGGAGGGAGGTGTTCCTGGGAAGGGGAAGCAGAGACTGCAGGCCTCAGAGAACACGATCAGTCACATTCCTTTCAGGAAGGGCTCTGACTGCCTTTGCCCTTTCCCAGCCCAGACCTCCCTGGACTTCCTCTTCCACTTTGGGATCCCCATGGAGGATGGACCCCACCCTGGCCTCTACCCCCTGACTCAGCCAGTTGCAGGTACATTTATTCCCTGAGCCCCCACCCACCTAACCCCCAGTTTTATATATATATATAAAATATATAATATATAATATATATATTATATATATAATGTATATATGTATACATACATCTGTGCATATGCATAACTTTTATATTGAGTTATAATTTACATAATGTGCACTAAAGTGTACAGTTTGATGGATTTCATATAATACACCCAGTTCAGGATATAGAACATTTCCAGCACCCCAGAACTCCCTCCTGATGCTCCCCATCAATACCCCTCGAAGGTAACCTATTTTCCCATCCATACTCCCCAGAGGGAACCCCTATTTTGAAGGCCATTAATTCTTTTCTCCCTGTGTCTCCGAATCTCACAATGTTCTCCCCTCCTCGCCCCTGTCCCAGGTCTTCAGACCCAGCTGCTGGTAGAAGTGACAGGGTTGGGTTCCAGAGCCAATCCTGGGGATCCTCAGCCGCATTTCTCCCACGTCATCCTTCGAGGGGTCCCAGAGGGTGCCGAACTAGGCCAGGTGCCCTTGGAGCCCGTGGGACCTCCGGAGCGAGGTCTCCTCGCAGCCTCGCTGTCGCCCACGCTGCTGTCCACCCCTAGACCCTTCTCCCTGGAGCTGATTGGCCAGGACGCAGCGGGGCGGCGCCTGCACAGGGCTGCCCCTCAGCCTAGCACTGTAGTCCCTGTCCTTCTGGAGGTGAGACGCCAGGGGAAAGTGCGGCTGGGGCTGGAGAGAGTTAGAGCGGCCCCTTCCCTGAAGAACCCTTCTCTGCAGCTTAGTGGCCCCTCGGGTTTCTTGGCCCCGGGCAGCAAAGTCCCGCTCAGTCTCCGCATCGCCAGCTTCTCGGGCCCTCAGGATCTTGACCTTAGGACTTTCGTCAACCCCAGCTTCTCCCTCACCTCCAACCTCTCCAGGTGAGGCTCATGAACCCTCCAGCTCCCTCTGGCATCTTGCCCGGCCAATGCTTATCCCAAGCCCTGCCCCTGTCCCCCTCCGACTGGCCCTCAGAATCCTCCTCTCCGCTCCCGTGCCCCTGCAGGCGTCCCGACTCTAGGCTCTGGGCAGCCTGGAGCTTTAGCGACGCCTATATCCTCTCTCCAGGGCTCACCTGGAACTGAATGAGTCGGCCTGGGGCCGCCTGTGGCTGGAGGTCCCAGATTCAGCGGCCCCGGATTCCGTGGTGATGGTGACTGTGACTGCAGGGGGACGAGAAGCCAACCCAGTACCCCCGACTCATGCTTTCCTCCGGCTCCTGGTATCGGCCCCAGCCCCGCAGGTGAGGAACCACTACTTTCCATCACAGGGTGGGCAAGGCCGGGGAGGGTGGTGTAGGTTTAATTTGAGTACAGCTCTAGCACACCCTGTCATTCTCTTCCTTTTCCCCACAGGACCGGCACACCACCCCTACCGGCTCATCTGACCCGATCCTCACCACGGCCACCCCTGCCTTTTCCCCCTTCACATTGGTGACTCAAGGCAGGGCTGGGGCAGGGCTGGCTGCGGGCAGCCCCTGGTGGGGCACAGTTGGAGGGGTGCTGCTTCTGCTAGGCCTGGCCTCCTGGTGACACAACGGGCTCTAAAGGGATGGGTCTCCAGCACTATTTTCAACCTGCCCCATTGGTAAGAAGACCTGGGACACATTTGTCACATAGGTCTTAGGACCTTACCTCTCCTAGCTGGGATGAAGGTTTTCTCTTTTTTGTTGTTGTTGTTTTTTTTTTGAGATGTAGTTTTGCTCATTGCCCAGGCTGGAGTGCAGCGGCGCAATCTCGGCTCGCTGCAACCTCTGCCTCCTAGGTTCAAGCGATTCTCCTGCCTCAGCCTCCCAAGTAGCTGGGATCACAGGTGCCCGCCACCACGCCCGGCTAATTTTTTGTATTTTTAGTAGAGACAGGGTTTCACTATGTTGGCCAGGCTGGTCTCAAACTCCTGACCTCAGGTGATCTGCCTGCCTCGGCCTCCCAAAGTGCTGGGATTACAGGCGTGAGCCACCGTGCCCAGCCAATGAAGGTTTTCTTTCTCCATCACATCCCTTTCCTTTCTTAGAAACTTCGAGACTGGGGCTGGGTGCAGTGGCTCACGCCTGTAATCCCAGCACTCTGGGAGGCTGAGGCAGGAGGATCACTTGAGCCCAGGAGGTTGAGGCTGCAGTGAGTTGTGGTCGAACCACTGCACTACAGCCTGAGCGACAGTGAGACCCTATCTCAGAAACAAAACAAAACAAAACACCCTGCAAGACTGGGATAGAGGGCAATGGATATTCCCACAATGCACTTTTCCTAACCCTATGAGAAACAAACCAAAGACATTTTTGGAGAAAGCTGCTTTCTGGAGCAGTTTCAGTTTTATTTTTGTATTTAAGGCTGAAGGACAGTTTCAATAAACATGCTTCTTCCCAGAGGGATTTCAAAGAAAGATCGTTTTTGCATGTCATATAGGGGAGAATGAGGACATGAGACACCAAGAAGATGAAGTTTTCAGGAGCAGAGGAGAAACTTTACACCAACATGTCTGAACTTCATTGACTCACTACCTGGAGCCATTTTTTAGCTGTTGAGTTAAGAAACAGAAAAAGGAGCCTGGGGCTTCTGACTCTTTCACCAGGCTTAGGGGAGTGAGAGGAGGGTTTAGACACGGGTAGGGCCTCTTGGCCCCTTGGTGCAGCCCCGCTGAGCCATCTCCTCCTTTGGCTGGGTGACTCCTTTCTGCTGCCTTGACAACTCCTGGAGGAGAAACAGATGGGGCCTCTGGGCTCCTCCCAGCCCTGTAGGGTGGGGCTCCTGCCCTCCTTCTTGAAGTTTACCTGTTGCTGCCACAAGTTCTGCTCCCTTCGTCTTTCCTTTGAATCCTGGGTGGTGCAGGAACTAGCCTTGTTCAGTGGACTTGGGGAGAACTGGAGGGGAAATTCGCTGTGTTTTCTGTTAAGCCAGCACTGACCCCAACAACTCCCCTCTCTAGTCCAACTTCCCAAAAGTCTAAACTGAAAACAATAAACTCACCTTCTCATGAATCAGATTCTGCAAACAGATGTTCACCTTTTGAATCTGGGCTAACGGGGGGCGACCAGGCTCTGAGTGTAAATCTGTTAGAAAATTCTAGAGGAGGAGTTGGAGGCTGACAACATGGTGAAAACCTGAGGTCGTCTGCCACTCTATTCCTGTCACCACAGGCCATCCCTCTCATCTGGATCCCCTCGTCCCAGTACCCTCCCAGGCAGGTGGGAAAATCCAGTACTCTCCACCTCCATCTCTTTAGCACATCAGTTCCTCCATCTCCCTCAAATAGCACAATACCCCCTTTCACTACTCTTCATGGAGCCTCCCTGTCCATCCCTGCCCCATTGGAATAATCCAGGCCACACCCTCATCTCCATGGAGTGATCCAAATCCCTCTGAATGGAATGCAGACCAGCTTCCTCCAGCCCCAACAATGAACACCAACTTAACACTTGGTGGCATCCTGTCATTACGATGCTGCCTCCAACTCATGATCCCTGACCATTAACTCTCCCCTCTCCAGAGTGGTCTCAGGCTGTGTCTACACATTCCCTGTTCCTCCCTCCCTGGTCCTCCCCCCATTCACACAGAGGGGCAGCCCCCATACCTCACCAAGGGCCCCTAGATGCAGCTGCTGTCGCTGTGCCTCCCTCAGATGGTCTTCAAACCAGGCCTGGCCATGCTGTAGCAGCTCCAGACCCTGCCACAGGGCATCCTGTTCTCTCTCCAGAGCCTGCATCCTGCGTAGCTGGGAAAGGCAATCACAGAGGCTGACTCTCACGCCACAGTAGGGCTCTGGGTTATGGCCCTTTCTCTCCACCCCTAGTTGGGTTCACTGTGTGGTCACTGAGTGTGAACCCAGACTGGCCACTGAGGACCTGGAGGGCAAGGGGAGGCAGGCGGGAACACTGTGGGCCCTCAAGTTGAATGGAAATATAAAGGGCAGATCTATTGAGAGAGTTCCCCTGGGACCTCTTGTTGGGCTGATACTCACCCAAAGGAAGAAGCTCTGGGCCCCTGGGTCTTGGCGGCTTGTCCCCAGCGGCAGCAGCAGGACTGTGTAGGGAGCCTGCACCAAGGGCACCCCGCCAGAGCCCTGGCTCCCCATGGCTCTGAGGTGGGAAGGGTGGAGCCACTCCCACTGGTGCAGCCCGGGCTGGTCCCTCCCCTCCACCCCTGCCTTGCACCCATCCTGCCTCTGTCAGCCTCTCAGGCCCCTTCCTGCTGTGTCTGTCTGAGGCTGGGGTGTTCCTACTTGAGAAGAGAGACCATCTCCCTTGGACCCCTCTGTCTTCCCTCTAATCTGTTTTGTAGGGCCTCTCTGAAGGGGTTCGTTCTCATGAAGTATCCTGGGGTAGAATCCGGGAGTCTTCCTACAGCAACAACACTGTATTTTTACTGAGGCAGGGCAGGTTCCCCTGTGGACTCCTGCTCTGTGTTTTGGATCTTTCCTAGTCTCTTGTTTTGAGACTAAAGAAACAATATCTTTCTTCAAAATAAACTTTATTCCTAATATGAAACAAAATTTCTAGAGAAACTAAAAACTCTGCGTCTGAGGGAGATAAGGAAACAAAGAGGGCATGGCAGCCCACCGGAGTCTCAGGAGGCTGGGGAGGACACTGGAAGGACTCTCAGAGGATGCTGGTGGCAGCAGGCAGCACTTCCTGGCTCATGAAAACGTTCAAGTCCAGGTTAGGATCTTCCAAATCCAGTTTCATAAACTTATCCACTAATGTCTGGCAACTGAAGAAGAGAGAAAATCGCAAGATTTATGGCAGAATGGACAACCAAATCCCTGGGCAGAGGGGAGAGGCTGTGGCACAGAAAACCTGGGATCTTGAAGATTTAGGGATTTCAGAAAGAAATGGTGGGTTTCTGAAGGGCAAAGTGCTGGAGGAAGGCTGAGTCCCTGAAAAGGGGAGAAGAGTTGCAGGAGAAGATGCAGAGAGGGTAAAGACACTGGGGCCATATACGCACTTTTCCATTTGGTTCTTCTTTAGCAAATCCTTGACAGGCTTGATGGGTTTTCCACTGCGGATCAAGTCTGAGACCTAGGAACAAGCAAGAAGGTGGGAGGAGTAAGGGGAGTGGGGAAGAGAAGGGGAAATAAGGGTCAGAAATCCTGTGGACCTAGACCCAGGCCCAGTAGGACTAGGAATGAAAGGGAGCTCTGATGTGGAGGTGGTTGCACATTTGGATCTCATCACCTCCTTGCCACGAGCCACAAGCTTGTCAGGAAGCCCAGCCTGGGCAGCTGTGTGGGAGGCATGGCTGGCCTTCGCAACACCTTCGCAAACCTGATAGAAGAAGACAAGATCGTTGCCATCCTCACAGGTCTCCATGGTCTTAAAAGAGAATAAAAGACAGTGTATCATCAATCACCTCCTTCCTGTCCTGAAACCCTTGGCCAATCCTGTGGGGAGGGAGAAAAGGGAAGGGATGTGGTCTCTGTGCTGAGGGAGCCCTTGTTCTGATAGAGGAGCCAATCCCCACCTCTGGGAAATGCCCAGCCTGGGGGTCCCCGAGGAGCTAGATTGGTCTCCTCACCAAATACTGCACCAGGGGCCCTTGTGGCAGCAGTTGTAGCTGAACAAGGCTCAGAAAGTTGGTGGCCACAAAGATGTGGGGGCATGTGGGTCCACGTGCCAGCCAGTGTCGGAGCACAGCGGCCAGAAGCGCGAGCCCATCCACCTGCAAAGAGGGCAGAGGTTAGCATTCGGAGCCATGGGGACCCCATATGCCCCTCTGCACTTGCACTGCCTTTCCCTGTCTCGTGTTCTATTTCTTTTCTGCCCACACAGCCCTATTCCATTCCAGAGGCCCAGCCTCACTGTCATGCTCCTTCATCCTCCTCCATTTTCCCCTCCTTAGTTTCTCCCCTCATCAGTTTCTCCCCTCACCGTGTTGGTTCCCTTTCCAAATTCATCAATAAGGACCAGCGACTGTGCAGTGGCATTGTTCACTGCTTTCGCCACCTGCTGGGTATAAGGTGGACAAGGGAAAGTTAGTATTGGAAGCCCGTAACGCACTGACCACAGTTGGCCTGTGAATAAAGCTGTATACATGCCCTCCCTACTGCACTGCAAGTTCTTGAATGGTGAGGTGCACGCTTTGTTCATCCTCTTTGCCAACAGTGACTCACATGAAACAAGGGTTCAAGAAATGTTTATGGTATTGATTCTTCTTATCTCTGACCTTAGTGCTCCCCACTTTTAGTATAAAGGGCATGCAGCAGAGGGCATGCTTTCCTGTTATGAGCATTTTCAGGGGTTCCTTTCCCATTATCCCCTTCCTCAATCCCACCTCCCTTTGTTCCCTTTGACCTGGTTGAGGTCGATCATGAAGGTGGAGAGGCCAAGGGAGATGGATTCGCAGCTATGAATTCGTGTGAAGATGGCGTCTACTGCCCCAATTTCGGCCTCCTCTGCTGGCACAAAGCTGCCTACCAGGGCCATGAATGTGATCAAGCCTACCTGAATAGGGAAGGAGACAGGGCCTGGGGCCTGGTGCCGTGGGCTGAGGTGAAAGTGAGGCTCAAGGCATGAATGGCACATCAAAGAGAAATGGACAGGGTGAAACAGGAGAAATAGGTAACAGACACACTGACTCTGTCTCTCCTCCCCGAATCCTGACCATAGCCCTGTGGGCTAATTTAGAATCAGTGAAGAGGCACGGGACGTGGGCAGAGACATACTTGGGAGTGGTGTGTACCTACTCAGAGGCAGGTGAAGGAATTTGGGCCACGGAAAGTTCCATTAGAGCATGGCTCTCCAGTGGAGAATAAGAACATGTGAGGTGGAAGCACAGGGATGTGGGTGATGGTCCTTTCATGAAGAGCGGGGTCAGAAAATGGGAGAAGAGCTGCAGGAGCCTGAGTTGGCTGGCAAGTAGGGGTGGAGTAGATGCAGGAGACGCCAGAGGCCCAGGCTGCAGGGCTTCTCCTCACCTGTTTGAGGTATATGCTCTTCCCTGATGAGTTGGGTCCAGTGATGACTTTGACCCTCCCTTTGTCCCCACCACATTCTGTGGAGTTGGGCACAAAGGTTCGGGCACAGAGTTCCATCAGAGGATGTCTGCAGTGGGCGGAGAGGCACCTCGCATGGCTTGTGGATCAAGATAGATGAACCCCCAGAAGATGTAGCCTTTGGGCCCCTCATGTCTATTCCTCCACCCGCCTCTATTCTTACCTGCCATTCTGGATTCGTACCCCAAGGACTTGTGGGGAGTAACGCGGCCTTGAGTAGCCATAGTCCCGGGCAGCACTGGCAAGAGCCAGCAGGACGTCCAGGCGGGAGGCAAGGTCCAATACTCGGGTTAAGACAGCTGCTCGTGCCAGCACCTGGCACTGTAGCTGGTACATCAGCAGCGTCTCCTGGTCTGGGAGTGGGTGAGGAAGGGAGCTGGAGGTCAGTTCCAGGGGAAAGTGAAGGAGAGGCAGAGGCCCCTAGGGGGATCTGGAAACAGGTTGCAGATACAATCTGAGACCTCAAGACATTCAGAGGAAAAGATAGAGTCAGAGTGAGCGAGACAGAGAGCAGGAAGAGGAGGGGCCTGTTGGAAGCATCCCCAAGTTGCCCACTCCCCTCCTTCCCCTGGCTGCTGCTTTTTTTAAACATCTTACAATGCATATAACCTCTGGCTTTTCCTCACCCCGGATCTCGCAGTGCAGGTCCCCCAGCAATGCATCCAGCTCCTTGGTTCGGGCACTACGATAGTGCAGCTTCTCCTCTGAGAGAAACTGGGTACAGGGGTTCAAAGCTGTGGACTTTGCATCTCTTGGTCCTCCTCTCCTTCCCCATCTTTCTAACCCCACCTCCAGCCCCTAACTCTGACTTCTCTTTCCTTTGTCTCAGTGCTGGTAAAGCTCAGAGTAAAACTACAGAGGAGAGATCCCATATTGGGCAGTGCTGCTGTAGAGTAACGCTCTTCCTCAGCTGCTGACTCATTTTCCTCATCACTCACCTTACAGAGGTTGAGGGTCTTACCATGAAGTCCAGTCCATTAATCTCAAAGTCACTGGCCTCTACCATGGAAGGCAGGCGGGGAATAGAAAGAAGGAAGCCAATCTGGGGAGAGTAAAGAGGAGATACTCTACTCTCCTGCTTGGAGACTTACTGGACACCTCCCCACCCTAGAGGGAGCTTAAAAGATCCCTGTATCCCCACAAAAAAGTGTTCATGTTCTTCAGGCTGCCCCACAAGTTTTCTTATCTACCAGTATGTCTTTCATAAGCCTAATATCTCCCCCAAAATACATCTGAAGGCTACACCCACTCTCCTGCCCTCACCAGAGGGATGTAGATGACACTGCATGAAGGAATACGGGAGTCCAGATTCTCCAGCTCCTTGCGGGCAACCTCAGTAAGGAAACTGGGAAGTCCCATCAGTCTTCGCTTTTCTACGAGGGTGGAAGACACGTGGTTATCAAAAGTGAGTCTCCTGCCCTGGTTGCTATGAAGATCCCCAGCTGTGGTGACCACCTGCCAAGGATGGTACTCCATCACTGCGCAGGGCTCACAGGCCCATCCACACCCAACACTCACTCTCATCAATTTCAGGATCTATGTTGGGGAGGACTGTGAAGCGATTTTCAGCAAGGCTGCCCTCAAAGTCCACCTGAGGAGATAAGTACTGTTTCTTAGGACCTGGCACCCTCTGTCCTGTTCCTCAGCTCTCCTTGGGCCCCAATTCTCCCTGCAGTCCTCCTTTAACTCTCACCCTCCAGATACTTCCCTGAAGTTCTGCTGCCTCCTCCCACCATCCCATTCTTTATCCAATTGACCTCAATATCTTCCATGTTTCCCCATCTTGCACACTGCATTCTCTCTCCCTGACCTCCCTGGGTGCACTCCCTTTTTCCTTCTACTCACTACTTTCCCAATGAGGCTGGCGATATGGTGCAGGTCATCAGAGAACTCTTGGGCAATGTCCCGAAAGAGCTGGATGGACTGCGGCAGGGAGCGGCAGGCATCCCTCAGGCCCAGGGCACTGTACACAGTCTGTGAGAGAAACACAAAAAGGAGGACAGGCCACATCCAGCTCGGGTTGAGGTGGTGATAGGGACAGACTCAGAAGAACAAAGACCAGTAGGGAAGATCACAGTAACAAAGAGGGAAGATCTCAAAGGCAAAAAGAAACAGTGAGAGGCACTGTACCAAACACTGAAACTACAAAGACAATTAAGATATGGTCCTGGCCAGGCACAGTGGCTCATGCCTGTAATCCCAGCACTTTGGGAGGCTGAGGTGGGTAGATCACCTGAGGTCAGGAGTTCGAGATCAGCCTCACCAACATGGTGAAACCCTGTCTCTACTCAAAATACAAAAATTAACTGGGCTTGGTGGCATGCACATGTAATTCCAGCTACTTGGGAGGCTGAGGCAGGAGAATCTCTTGAACCCGGGAGGTGGAGGTTATAGCCAGATCACGCCATTGCACTCCAGCCTGGCCGACAGAGCGAGACTCTGTCTCAAAACAAAACAAATAAACAAAAAAAGATATGGTCCCTGTCCCAGATGTGCTCACAGTCTAGGAAGGAAGACAGAAATACATGCAGAAGATTTAAAAGTGAGGTGGTAGGTGCTTTGATAGAGGGTTGTGCAAACTCTAAAACAAAGGAGTTTGTACAGAGTCGGGAGAAAGAGAAATATAGCTATAAAAGGCCATGAGTCTGTAATGATACAAGAAGAACAATGACAAAAAAACCTCATCGGCTATCAGGGCCGGGCGCGGTGGCTCACACCTGTAATCCCAGCACTTTGGGAGGCTGAGGCGGGTGGATCACGAGGTCAGGAGATTGAGACCATCCTGGTTAAGAGGGTGAAACCCTGTCTCTACTAAAAGTACAAAAAATTAGCCAGGCGTGGTGGCGGGCGCCTGTAGTCCCAGGCACTCAGGAGGCTGAGGTAGGAGAATGGCGCGAACCCGGGAGGCAGAGCTTGCAGTGAGCCGAGATCGCGCCACTGCACTCCTGCCTGGGCAACAGTGCAAGACTCCATCTCAAACAAACAAACAAACAAACAAACAAAAAACAAAAAAATCTCATGGCTATCTTGGAGAATGTTAGGGAACTAATTTACCATATTGATAGCTAGTAAATAAAGGTGGGGGGTGCTCATTTCTGCAGCACATATACTGAAATTTCGAAGGTTACAGGGATTAGCACGGCCACTGGGCACGGATGACACAAATTCAAGAAGCGTTCCATATTGGGGAAAAAAAAAAGGGCTGGGCATGGTGGCTCACACCTGTAATCCCAGCACTTTGGGAGGCCGAGGCGGGTGGATCACGAGGTCAAGAGATCAAGACCATCCTGGCCATCATGGTGAAACCCTGTCTCTACTAAAAATACAAAAATTAGCCAGGCATGGTGGCACACGCCTATAGTCCCAGCTACTCGGGAGGCTGAGGCAGGAGAATCACTTGAAACCCAACCCGGGAGGTGGAGGTTGCAGTGAGCCAAGATTGTGCCACTGCACTCCAGCCTGGTGACAGAGCAAGACTCTGTCTCAAAAAAAAAAGAGTGGGGGAAATATCAAGCAATTTTCTGTATTTCTATATGATTTCTATCACTTGGCAACCAAATAGTACATAAAAGGAAGTTTCTCTTTACAGAAATTTCTGGCTAATAAATGAAGAAAGAATCAGAGATTTAAATGCTACTACTTTGTAATTGCTAAAGAATTAATAGATGGCTGGGTGTAGTGGTTCACGCCTGTAATCCCAGCACTTTGGGAGGCTGAGGCGGGTGGATCACCTGAGGTCAAGAGATCAAGACCATCCTGGCCAACATGGTGAAATCCCGTCTCTACTAAAAATACAAAAATTAGCTGGGCGTGGTGGTGTGCGCCTGTAAGTCCCAGCTACTCAGGAGGCTGAGGCAGGAGAATCACTTGAACTCAGGAGGCGGAGGTTGCAGTGAGCCAAGATCGTGCCACTGCACTTCAGCCTGGCGACAGAGGGAGACTCACCTCAAACTAAATAAATAAATAAATAAATGAATAATAGATTTAGGTATTAAACATCAGAACATTTGCCAACATCAGAAAAAGAGAGACAATCGGACATATCAGACATTATGTTCCTCTACTTCTAAAACAGTATTGAAAAAAAAAAACTCTGAACCTAATCATGCTTCTAGAACTAAATATTAATTTACAGAAACTATAGAAGAGAGAGAAATGTGCCAAAAACATCTAGGAAATGCAAACAGCAAAATCCAGGCTAATGGAAAACACTATAAGACAAATAATAATCTAGTTTCTTCAACAAATTGCCAGGAGAAGAAAAAGAGAAAAAGAAAGAAAGAACAAGAGAGAAAAGATAGAGAAGGAACCGGTAGATTAAAAAGGACTAGGGCCATCATCTGACTGGGCATCGTGGCTCACACCAATAGTCTCAGCACTTTGGGAGGCCCAAGCAGGAGGATCACTTGAGCTCAGGAGTTTGAGACCACCTTGAGCAACATAGTGAGATCCTGTCTCTACAAAAAATAAAAAATTGGTCAGGTGCAATGGCTCACGCCTGTAATCCCAGCACTTTGGGAGGCCGAGGCAGGCAGATCATCTGAGGTCGGGAGTTCGAGACCAGCCCGACCAACAGGGAGAAACCCTGTCTCTACTAAAAATACAAAATTAGCTGGGCGTGGTGGCACGCACCTGTAATCCCAGCTACTTGGGAGGCTGAGGCAAGAGAATCACTTGAACCCAGGAGGTGGAGGTTGCGGTGAGCCGAGATCACACCATTGCACTCCAGCCTGGGCTACAAGAGCAAAATCCCGTCTCAAAAATAAATAAATAAATAAATAAATAAATAAATAAATAAATAAATGCAAGCAAAAAATAAAAACTTAGTTCGGTGTGATGGCCATCACCTGTGGTCCCTGCTACTCAGGAGGCTGAGGGGGGAGGATCGCTTGAGCCCAACAGTTTGAGGCTGCAGTGAGCTACAATTGTGCCATTGCACTCAAGCCTGGGTGACAGAGTGAGACCCTGTCTCAAAAAAGAAAAATTTCAGATATTTGATGATACCAAATAATACAATTTTTAAAGTAAGATAACAATACTGTTATTCTTTTTAAAAAATAATTTTCTTTTAGAAATTACCCTGAAATATTGGCCGGGTGAGGTGGCTCACGCCTGTAATCCCAGCACTCTGGGAGGCCGAGGCGGGTGGATCACGAGGTCAGGAGATCAAGACCATCCTGGCCA